>NC_000005.10:153057467-153357784 GCF_000001405.40 Homo sapiens
CATACAGAGTCCCACTCACACTTCATTGAACTGGAACACCCTCTTGAATACATAATTTTTCCAGCCATTCACATTCAATAAAAGACTAAGTGTCAACTACACTTAAGGCACTGGCCTGTCTTTCTCTACCATTTTATGCTCACTGCTCTTCCTTGCCTTTGTCACCAGTAGCTTTACAGGAACCAAGCCTAGGGAAAACCATGAAATCACTCAGACCTGCATGCCACTGAGGTGTTTTCTCAGCTATTAAATCACCGTGTGATCCAGAAGGTGGAAGGGGAAAAGCAACAGCACGTGCTCCCAGAAGTTCCATGAAACCTACGCAGGTAAAGCCCAAAAACTTGTTTACTTTCTTACGTGGGTCGCAGAGTTAAACCAGTAATGAAAGATAAACATTCTTCATCCATCCCAAGACCTGCAAGTTAATTGGAATGCCGTGTTTATGATTTACCTTAAGTGGCTATGGCAGAATAAGAGTCTAAAAGTCTGTGCTATAGGTGAAGAAGGTCCACAAAGGAAGAGGCCATGCAGCCTTGTGGAATATGAGCCCCGATGAGAGGAGCAGAAAAGCCTAGGCCAGGTTACCACCTCATTATCTCTGAGGCGAGTCTAAAAGACAGCTGTCAGATCTTTTTGGGAAATTATATGCAATATACAATAAATTCGTATTTTAAATTGAATTATAAGTCTATAAATATATAAAATATGCATAAGAATAATACTAAGAGTTAATACTAAAGATACTGCCATGTCACGAACTAGGTTAATTGTTTATATTCACTTTGTTTCACAAGAACCCTGTGAAGCAGGTGCTATTATGCTGCTCATTTTACAGTCAGGAAATGAGGGCACAGAGGTGGCAACTGCCCAAGGTCACTGCAAAGCCTACTCTATAAACCACTGCATTATGGTGCTTTGCTTGCCACCAAGGTGCTGCTCTACATCGATTATAGAAATAGGTGAGGGGACTTGAGGGGACGTGTGGGTAGAGAAATGCCGTATTAAAATGATGAACAGAAGCACAGCACAAACAAAAGAAAAAGAGTGAGACTGTAAGGTGGCCCTCGGTTACAGAACATCCCCATATGAAAAATACAAGTAAGAGCATTTCCTGTGTCAACTGGCCATATCACAAGCACGGAGCCTTCCAGTGCCTTGGTTGCCTCATCTGGGAGGAGATGGCTACAGCAGCTCAAAGTTCTTAATGGAGAGAGAACATACAAACTACCTAGCTCAATTCCTGGCACAAGCAGGTACCTGGTAAACCAATCAAGCCTGAATCTGAAGAGGTGGTTTTGTGATTCTGTCAAGTACTGGAAGATAGAGAGGAAAAAAGATGTGCATTGAATGGAAGGTTGCACTAAATAATTCTTTTTTTGCTCTTCCACATCTTGTCACTCTGTACTTGTCCAGAGCATCAAGTGAATGTACCAGGTAAATTCCATGGATGTGAAATCATAGGTGCTGTTGGAATGGACACTTGTCAATAACTCCTGAATTAGATGATCAGTAGCTTCATTTTGGAGTTTTGTCTTTTCTACAACAACACACTGCTTGGGGGATATGACAAAGTCCTATGTCCATTCCTAAAAACTGTAGTTCATAATAGTCATGAGTCTTTATAGGATATAGATAGATTTGAGAAAAAGCTCACTGGGTTACTGTAATCTAATCCCTTCAGGGTGGGGATGAGCAACTCTCACACCCCATTCCTGCTTTGAGACTCCCAATCCTAGTCTATTGGGTTACTGAAGGGTGGTCAGGGACACTTGACATCACCCAGAATAAAACTAGGAACATAATGACAGAGTTCTTCATAAATCTAAAATATTCCATTTAAATCAGTATCTTTCATTCTGAGCTCATGCATTTCCTATATTTGGGGTGTTAAAATATCCTTCCTCTTATAAATATTATTGTGATTGTAAATGGTAGTATGTTTTGTTTTTGTTCCTTAAATATTTAATTGGGTGGAAAATATTTGGCTATTCCATGTTGAGAAAAAGCAGAGACTACTCTTAAGGGTCTGTGCCCACTCCCCCAACCAAGCATAAGAATAAAAATTTTGAGTTTATTTAAGAGAAATTCCAGTCACTTAGCTTGCTCTGAGGAGTCAATGAACAACTTGATAAGCAAGAAGGTAATAGTAGCTTAAAACAATAACCAAGGGAGAGTCATGGAATGTTTGGCTTCCTACAGTAACTAAAGATAACATCTTCACATATGTCCCTGAGTTGTTCTTTAGAAACCCGGACCTCCACCATATGGATTCACTGAGGTCTATGTACCTTAAATAAAAGGAAACTGAGGACCGAATTCTGACCACTATTTTTGGTTCTTAAGTTCTTCCTGAGGGACCGGGAGGAAGTCATATCCCCAGGCCAGAATTAACACTCTCCAAACATACTAACCCCAAATTTTTAAACAAAGCTTCTCCTTCTTAACCAACTGCAAATCAGAAAATCTTTGAATCTACCTATAAGTCCCCACTTCAAGATATCCCACCTATTCCTGCCAAACCAATGTACAGCCTTCATGTACTGATTTACTGTTTTGCTTATGACTTCTGCTTCACTGAAATTTACCCTTGCTTTTAAAAACCCTTCCTTGCAAGCCATTGGGAAGGTTGGGTCGTAAGTGAGAGCTGCTCAATTCTCCTTGCTTGGCGTCATGCAAATAAATACCTTCTTTCCCCCATGGCAAATTTCAGCATGGTTGTTTGGCTTGACTATGTCAGGTGAGTCGACCCCAGTTCAGTGTGTTAATAATATCAGAGATTTCTTTTATCTTTCCTTTTCAAATTTTGCTCCTGAAATTTAAATATATGGGAACTAATGACCTAATCTAATACCTTAAATATCATAATGAGTAGAAAATCCCTGGATAAAGCACTAAGTTTCATTCAAACATAAACATTATCAGCATTGACCCCTGAAAGTGTTAGTGGCATTACTGTAATATTCTACAGCCCTTAGTAGACATTAAGGTTTGTCAAATAAGTTTATCTAAAAATTTTGACCCTATTTCTAACTACATGACTACTTCTTCATGTTGTTCCTTCCTAGTCACTAATCTTCATTTTTCGAAGACTAGAATTAGCCTTGCCTGGAAAGAAGAAAATTAATCACTTCTCATAGTTAAGATTTGAAGATAACCGCCAACTAAGACTCCAGATCTGTCCTCCCACTTATATCCCTACATAAGTACATAAAATTAAAAAGGAGAAAAATATTTACCACACTGATATAGAAATTTTACCACACAAAATCAACTTCGCATAGTTTTCATCCGAGCATCTGGTTGTGGTGTGACTTTAAGCCTGTCTCTTTTCCCACTCTGAGATTAATAGAAAATGAGGACGTTGAAGGGATGAACCTTAAGGTTCTTCCACCCCATCTCTGAAGTGCCAGGGAATCATGAGCTCTCACTTATCAAGTATTTACTGACACCTACTTAAGTGGTACTACTTAAAGGCTTACAATGAGCATCTCATTTAATCCCAAGTACCCTAACAGGTGGCTATAATTGTAATTGCTGTCTTATATAAGAAACTGAACCTCAGTTTCTTAACAAGTTTGGAGCCTAAAATACTGTTGTAAATCATTTTGCTGCATAAGAAAAAGAACTCCTGGTAGCCATTTCCATATCTGTAAAATGGGGATAATAGCTACCATAAAACATTTAGCACTGCACCTAGTACAATACTATTATGTAAAATATTGCTACAAAATAAGCATATGTGTGGATAGAGCCCTTAATCTTGTAACCAATGCACATTAAAGGGAACATAGGAAAAGAGAAGAATTTTATCTCTTCTAGAGCCCTCTCTGAGTTCTGATAATAGTATCTCTCTTTGATGCTTTTTTCCATTCACTCCACCCAACCACCCAGCTCCATAGCATGTTACAGTGAAAAGAACACTGATTAGGAGTCTCCAGCCTTAGATTCCAGAATAGGGTAGTTAAAAGGATGGGCACAGACATCAGGATGGAGTTCAAGTTCCAATTTTATCATCTACTATCTTTGTAACCTTGAGTAAATTATCAAAACTTTCCAAACCAAGACTTATAGATGAGAATAACAAGACTTTTAAATGATAATCCACATAAGGAGTTTTGCACAGTAACAAGAATATAGCTAAGGAATTCCCAGGCACTAAGTTTGAATCCCAGCAATTCACATGTAACTTGCTTTCTCTGTGCCAAATTTCCTCACGAGCATCCTGTTAGTAACAATGAGGTGGGTAAAGTTTATGGTGAAGATTAAATAATACGTGTACAAAAAATGCTTAAAACAATGCTTAGCACTAAAGGTTATTTATTTTTGATATTAGTGTTATTCCTACTATTAAGAACTTTGTCGAATCAGTTCTTTCTCTCTGAAACTTAGTTTCTCCTTCTAAAACATGAAGGTGTAGGTATTTTGTTCACCTCTTCTTTGAGACCGGGTCTCACTCCATCACTTAGACTAGACAGCAATGGCATGATGTCGGCTCACTGAAACTTCTGCCTCCTGGGTTCAAGTGATTCCTCTTCCTCAGCCTCCTAAGTAGCTGGGATTACAGGCATGAGCCACCACACCCAGCTAATTTTGGTATTTTTAGTAGAGATAAAGTTTCACCATATTTGCTAGTCTGGTCTCGAACTCCTGACCTCAAGTGATCCACCTACCTCAGCCTCTCAAAGTGCTGGGATTACAGGCGTGAGCCACCACACCCGGTGGTTCACCTCTTCTTTACCCCATTAATGAGGGAGGGAGTCCTGCCCTAGCATTCTGGGCAGGCAGACACCTGTCATTAGACAGATGAGATCCGCAGCAATTTATTAATCACACAGACTCACATCATGGGAGGAGTATACCACACACCATGCAGGGATAAACCAGGATTGTACTCAGGAGCAGAGTGAACCAGCAGGGGCTTTATAGTAATGACAAGATAAAGTGCCCCCTGGTTTCTGTGGGAGAATATGATTGGCTTGTCTGAATAAATGTGAAGGCTGAGATGGAGGCTGAGGACTGGGTGGGATGCAGCTTTTATGGCGGATAAGGGAACTAGCTGGCTGGGGAGTCTTTCCCACCGGCTGCTGGACTTATCTGGAGAGATCAGGGAAACTCATGGTTAGGTCTGCTGATCCTGTAAGGTTCAAAGATGTAAAGGAAACACACGAAATTTTGGACCTTACAATATAGCATGTCTTGTTTCTAAGTACTCACCTAGCTCCAGGACCCTAAGATTCCAAGGATTCTTTGGCACCAACACCTCCACTTCCACCTCTCCCACTGCCTGTGCCTTTGCCCTTTAAACTTACAACCCCATCCTCTTTAAGGTCACCAGCTTGGAGGCACTTTGTGTTTTCAGCCATTTTTGCTTAAGAAAAGCAGAAAGTCCTCTCCTGCTCTCATCCCTGCTTAATTAGGGGGAATTCAGAATGATCCTGAAGCATCATTGGGACTGCTGTCAAACCCCAAGGAACCTGCTAGTATATTGAAAGGCCACACTCATTACTTTGCAATAATTGTATGATCATCCCACCACTATTCATCCTCCATCCCCCATCCCAGCTTCCTCATTTGCTTCTTAACATTTAGAATAGTTTTTATTTATTTGCTCATTTTTAAGAAATTGGTTTCTGGTAAGCCTAGTTAACGTTATGCCCCTGGTGTCTTACTGTTGCCCACCTCAAATTAGGAAGTATGCTATTCCCCAAAGCATACATTGAGGGGCTATCAGCGAGGTAATGCACCCTTGATATCACCTGGGGGTTTTACATTGCCCAGGGCTGTGTTTGGACAGAGCAAGTCATCTGTTGATTTCTCCCATTACTATCTGGCAGGTAAGATCCTTAGTCCACGTAAGACTGATGTCCTTATGAGAGATGAGAGACAAACACACAGAGCAGAGACCACCACATGAAGACACAGACATGCAGGAGGAAAGACAGCCAGGTGACAACAGAGGCAGAGATTGGAGTTACTCAGCACAAGCCAGGAAATGCCAAGGTTTAACAGAAAACCCAGAATCTGTAAGAGCAAGCATGATTTTGAACTTTTAGCTTCCAGAGCTTGAGAGTATAAATTTCTGTTGTTAGAAGCCACCCAGTTTGTTACAGAAGCCCTAGGAGACAAATACACGTGTTGATTGTATCTTAAAAGCTCTCAGGTGCTGCTAATGGCAGTTTTTAAAATGGCTGTGAAATCTGCTTCTTGCCTGTTACCTCAGCATTCTCGAATGCTTTCTTCTTCTGCCCAGCTTCAGTAGCAACTCCTGATTATCCAGTCCTCAATTGGAGGTCATTTCCCCTAGGAAGCTTTCTCTGACATCTCAGAGCAGGGTAAAACAGAAGAGTTCTATTTCCTGGCATGTTGCAGGGAACAGGGACTGCAGAAATGCTTGTTTAACCAGGAATGCACATTTGAAAAAGTGCAGCCCACGTTAAAAAGAAAGAAAACGTTCATCATGTGTCTTTAAAAAAAATTTCCAATTCTGTTCAAACTGTTTTGACAATTATTCTTTCATTTTTAAATTTATATTGGGTGCTCATGTGACCTCAGAAGCCCTAGATTTATCAAACCATGCTTGTAATTTCTTATGATTACTTTCTTAATTGCCTATCTTGTGTGTTTGAGTGCTGGCTCCCTTGGAGAAGGGCCACGTTTGTGTGTTCTCTGGTCTCCCGATACTTGGCACACAGAGGTCCTTAGCTTGAGGACAAGTGAATGAAGTGGATGAATGAAAAAATAAGAGATGAAGACTCTTGTATAGCCACTGTTAGGGTTACAGTGATTCCAATGGAAACATCAAAAGAAGAGAATTACTAGAAAAGTGAAAGTTGATAATGCTAGAAATGACTTCACAAAACCAACATCTTAGGTAGGGTCCGTATTTTAGACCCACGGATGACTAAACTCATAGGGAAACCCACAGGCAAAGGCTCTGCTCCTTCCCCTCAAAACAATAGTCCCCTCAGTTCTGGGCCTGACCTTGATTCTAATAACCTTACTTAGCCTGCAGTAGTACCCTGAGGTGAGGCTTTTTTTTTTTTTTTAAGGTCACTAGCTGACAATTTATGCTTACAAAATTTAAGTTTTGGGTCCTCTGTCTCTATTAACATAGCTGAAGACTGGCTTTGAGATAGGGAGAAAAGCAAAAGTAGAAACAGTGGCCTGTTTTCAGGGTGAGTTTCTAAAACAGAAGTTGCTAAATGAGGTGGAGACAAACACACTGGATCTGGAATGATGCCTCCAGGCATGCCTCTGACACTCCTTTGAGCTACTCTTTCCCAAACTTCAATTTTTAAAAGTCAACTGTTGAATTTTAAAAAGCCAAACCAGGAAAGGACAGTTAATCGTCCTACCATCATTAGTGTAACCACCCAATGGGTCTTTCTTGCCTGATGCCCAGATAGAGCTGATTTATCAAGGTAGTGAAATTCCAAGAGAGAAGAAGTTTTACATAGAACTGGCTAAATGAGGACCAGAGTTTTATTATTACTAAAATCAGCCTCCTAGAAAATTTAGGTGCTAGGGCCTTTCAAGGATAGTTTGGGGGAAGCGGTAGGAGTGCTAGGCAATGGGTGATTGCTGTTCATTGGTTGGGGGTGCAATCATAGGAGTGTGGGAAGTGGTCCTCATACACACTGAGTAGCTTCTGGGTGGGGCCAAAGAGCAGTTGGTGTGTTCAGGTGGAGCCATCAGTAGACATGCAAAAAACCTGAAAAAGTATCTCAAAAGGCCAATCTTAGGTTCCACAATAGTGATATCATCTGCAGGAGCAATTGGGTAAATTGCATGTCATATCTTGTGACCTCTGGAATAATGGCTGGCAATCATTTATGTCTACACCTTAGCAGAATTCAGGCTCCTCTATCCACCTAGCCTAGTGGTCTCTCTGCTTTACAAAGGCAGTTGAGTTTTGGGAAAGGGCTATCGTCATTTAAACTATAAACAAAATGTCTCCCCAAGTTAGCTTGGTACAAGCCCAGGAAAACTGAAGGGCAGCTTAAAGGCCAAAGGCAAGACAGGGGTTGGCCAAGATCAGATCTTCTTCACTGCCATCATTTTCTCATTGATATAATTTTTGCAAAGGCAGTTGCATTAGGGTTTATATGTGGAACACGTTTTTGAATATTGGTAAGAAGTGTAGCCCTCAAAGCAGGCAGTTATTTAAGAATCTGCCCCCTCCTGCTAGCCTTGAAGTACCTTCTAGAAAAGGATATAGCTGGGGGTAAAGTTTTTCTAAAGCTGTGCTTTGTCTCCCTTAAGTGTGATGAGATAGATGGAAAGGGTAAATATAATAACATTTCATAGTTCTTGTAACTGATACAAAAAGACCTTCCAGTAAGGTTCATCACTGTGACCTGGAGCAGCAGGGCAGGACAGAGAGCACAAGCTGGGGAAGATGTGCCTATTTATACAGGAAGATCCCACTAGTGCAGACCAGTCAAGTACTACATTCAGAAAGTAGTGTTTCTGAAAGTTGGATGTGCATAACAATTGAAAATCTTGTTAAAATGCAGATTTGAATTTAGTAAGTGTGGGGTAGGGACCCAGATTCTATATTTCTAACAAGTTTCCATGTACTGGTCTGTAAATGATGATACTTTGAATAACAGGGAACTATATGGCAAGTTCTCACGTGCAAGAGTTTTCATGGTAAGATTATTTTAAATACAAATGTACTTTATGCACACATTTTTAGCTAAAACAATGCACATTTTTACTTTTTATCTGTTCAGAAATGCACCTTTTCCTACCTTTTAACATTTCTGAAATCAGAATGCACTTTGCAGCCCATAGTGCTTTGTAATCTCTGTCACCCAAGTCAGGCTTGAGCTGTACTCATGTTATCATTTCTGGGCATTTGGAAACATCAACAACTGAAGCATCAAAACTTCAGAATGGGTGTCAGTAACTTAGAAGAAAATCCTGAAGGCAGGAAAGAAACACTCTGAACCAGAAGGAGACAAATGGTTGTGGGAGGGAGTGGGGCAGCAGTGAATCAGTTGTTTCCCAACATTCCTGAAGCTGCCCTTGCAAGTAGGCTTGCTCTACATAATCAAAAAAGAGCCTAGCACCTGTGGGTTTTGTTCCTGTGCAGATTCTTTTAAAAAATGCTCTGTCTTCATTACTTTTGGTAGCAGAAAGAATGATCTCCTGTGCTAATAATTGGCATTGATGACTGAGTTAAAAGAGTTGGATTCTGAGTGTGAAGTTTTAGGAATAACTTTCTTTGTTCATGTTTGGGTTTTGTATATGTACAAGAGTAATGTGAGAAAAATGTCTCTAGGAAAATCTAAAGTATATATGTTCTCAATAATAGAACAATATGTCACCATTTAATCAGCAACATTTTTTTCTCGTAGTGTATATAAAGTGATAAGACATTTTACAATCCATGGCATCTTAGATACGATTAAAGGTAGTAAAAAACAATTGTTACTATTGGGTACTATGAACTAGACAGGATGCCAAAGTGCCAATCCTCAGATAAACCTTCAGATAGGTAACATTATGATGCCCCTGCATGGTTAAAGCTCAGTACATTTTTGTTTTTCTTTTTTCCATGTTGCAAGAAAGGAAACTGAGATAACAGAAAGGGAAACTTTCTGATTCAAGGTCAGGCTGGTAAGTTTCACTCCTCACTTGTGAAATAAGCTATAGTTGAATAGAGGTGGCATCCAACTAGCCTTTTCTCTAAATAGATAGCATCTTCATAATAGTTCTTATTTAGGGGGTACCTACCTTCCACCCTCTTGGAACGTTGGGAAACATGTGCTGTGCTTATGTTGTGGTGGGTGGGAAGTTGTTGCATTTGATTATCACAAGGACTCAGAAATGATCCTGGCTTTTCATGAGTACCAAGACCCAAAAATATCCTCCGTGCTTTGTACAGTCCTGCAATGGTGAAAGAGTCCTTCCAGAGGACTAACAAGCCCCCCTGTTAAGAAACACTAAGGTATTTTGACACCAGAAAGTATCTCATTGTAGAATCCTTAGGGGTGTTGTCTCAATTTGCTCCAGAATTTTCATTCTGTTTCTATTTAATTTTCTGACTTAGGAAAACCTCCCCCTACATCTTAATCCACTTGCTCTATAAGCTGTAATTAGTGTGCATTCTGAGTTGCTAAGGCTGGAAGTCTATATTTTTTTTAGTGTAATGAAATAGATTTCCTCACTGTTAAATCTGTATTCTGACATGTTAAATGGACTCCTGGGAGCCCACCTAAGGTCCAGGAATAATGCAGCATGAGAAGAATGCAAAACCATTTCTGCTATTGAATCAGATTCATGGATGGCATTATTTGGCCTCCTTGGAGGCCCAGACAGATAAGGGGGGTCCTGGAAGACTTTGTGCCATCTTGCAAGCTTCATCTCTTCAATCCATTTCACCACTATCAGGGTGTCTTCCTATACTCAGGTCATTGTCATCATCAAAGTACTTACTGAGAATTTACTACAAGCCAAGCACCATGTTCAGAGCTTTACATGGATTATTTTATGCCTATGGCAACCCTTTGAGTTATCTCTACTTCACAAATGGGTAAACTGAGGCTTAGAAAGTTGAGGGCTTTATTGCCATGTTTACAGCCAGCAAGTGGCAGCGTTGGACTACCAACTCAGGCAGCATGCTTCTAAGCTCTCCATTGTAACTCAACACATCCAAGGGTACCCCATCATCCACAGAATAAAGTTCTGTGTTCACAGTTTGGCATTCAGAAGCCTCCACAATGTGGCTTCTTCCTACCCCTTCCAACTTCATTTTATTCCTCACCTCTTTAAATGCACCTTATATTTTGACACAGTCTTCAGTTTCACACCTCGAGTTGTATGCATTCCTAAACAAGGCAACACCGTTCTGAATGCTCTACAATTTTGGTACACAACAAGGCTGAGAATGAACACGCCATTTCTTTCCCCTGTGAATAATACCCTAAACCCTCCCTTGGTATATAATTACTCCTCTTTCTGCATTATTGGAGACTTTCCACCTCTACTGATTGTTTTCTTTGGCTTTATGTTATATATAATGGTTTCCTGTACCCCACCCTTCTCTACTGGTTTTACATTCCTGATGTATAAAAATGTTCTCATTCATTTCTGTTTCTACTAAATCTCTAATTTAATTTTGTATACAAAGTAAGTGGGAAGATGAGAACAGAAGAAGGGGGATGCAGAGAGAATTTTTGAAATTACGAATTCCCAGTGGACAGAGACCATATCAAATTTAGCTTGAAATAGACTCACAGAAGAACAATACAGTCATCCAATTGGTATTCTCTTCATAGAATCTTCACAGCAAAATCAATCAGTCACAATTCAATATTCCAGTAACCAGGACTGACACACCTGTATGGGCATCCAATGACAATGTGAGTTACCACTAACAGAAGAACAGTTGGTTATACTGCACCCTCATCTGCTTCTTCACATATTTATTGTCTATTTCTTGTTTGAAATGCTTCCTAAGCCCTTCTCCATTGCATGTCACCTCAGATGCCATTAGCAGTTTTCTTAATGTGTGGCACACTAGAGCATCAACCCAATAATGGACTCAACAGCTGAGAACAAGATAGGAGCATCACTTCACATGTTGGTGTCACTGTTTCCACAATCACATTCTGCAATGCTTGTTCAGTGCAACACTCAGCACACTTCCTTTGCAGTCATTTATTCTCAATCATTTGATAAAACATGTGCTCTATGTTTTGGTTTTAGGACCATAGGCCTAGTCAGACTGTGTTCAAATCTCCTCTCCAATGTATACTAGCTATGAGTTAGACTGGTGCTTTTTAAACATTAATGTACTAATGAATGACCTTAGGGAGTTGTAAAGGCACAAATTATTATGCAGAAGGTCTGGGATGGGGCCTGATATTCTGCATTCATCACAAATGCCCAGGTGATGTCGATGCTGCTGGGCCATACCACTCAATGACCTCAACTAGAGCCTTACTAGGCTTTGGCTTCATATTAAAATCACTAGTGAGGCTTCAAAACTCCCAGTACCCATGGCTGCATCCCAGAGTTATGACACTTCAATCCCTAGGTGGGACCCAAGCATCAGCATCCCAATTTCTCACTCTAAGGAGTTCTATGAGGATTCCATTAACTTGCCATATAAACTGCACTTAAAAGGGTCACTAGAACATGGAAAACACTCAATGTAGATTGGTTATTTTGCTGTGACTATTATAAAAAAGTAGTGCCATGTTTCTCACAACACGGTTTCAACAAGGTGTCAATAATATTCCTAAAGTGCTTCATGATCATATAAATGTTCGCAGTTCTGTACCTACAGCCTCTCCTGGAGACAAATCTCTTAAGCATTCTCTAAAATTCTTTGATGAGGAAATCTATTTAACATTAGTTAAACTGACATTTACCAAACAGTGATGATCCTTGAGCCCTTTATTTGGTACTATTAATTTTTTTAAAATTTTTACCTCTATAATAAAACTTTTTATTTTCATGTAGTTGTTACTCCATACGCATTTTAAGGAGGAATATGAAAAGACCCTATGTACCCTTTACCCAGTTTTCCCCAGTGATAAAATCTTGCAAAACTATAGTACAACCTCTCAACCAAGATGCTGACATTGATACATTCGAAATGCAAAACATTCCCATCATCACAACAATCATTCATGTACAACTTTATAGACATAGCCTCCTTCCCTCATATTCCTACCCCTTCCTTAATCCTTGGCACTCACTAATCTGTTTTATTTCTAAATTTTTGTCATTTTGAGAATATTATACAACTGGAATCATGAAGCATGCAACTTTTTGAGATTGGCTTTTTTGAGTCAGAATAAGTCTCTATAGATTCATTCAGTTTATTTTATGTATCAATAATTTGGTTCCTGCCAGGCACAGTAGTCACACTTGTAATCTCAACATTTGGGAGGCCAAGGAGGGAGGATTGCTTGATCTCAGGAATTCAAGACCAGCTTGGACAACATAGTGAGACCCCATTCTTATAAAAATAAAAATAAAAAATTAGCCAGGCACCATGGCTCACTCTGTACTCAAGAGAAGGCTGAGGCAGGGGGATCACTCAAGCCTTGACCAGGTCAAGGCTGCAGTGAGCCTTGATTGTGCCACTGCACTCTAGCCTGGGTGAAAGAGCAAGACTCTGTCTCAAAAATTAAATACATATATATATATTTTATACATATGTATATATATGTGTATATATATATATATTTTATATAGATAGATAAATAGATAGATAGTTAGAGAGCTGAGTAGTAGTCCACAGTATATATGTACACCACAGTTTATTTAGTCATTTACACATTGAATCTGGGTTGTTTCCAGTTTGGGATTATTATGAATAAAGCTGCTGTAAACAGTTGTGTACAGGTTTGTGTGAATGTAAGTTTTTATTTCTCTGGGATAATACCCAGGAATGATTGTAGGGAGTTTTCATGTTCAGTTTTTCCTCTTTTTAAACTGCCCAAGTGTTTTCCAGCATAACTGTGTCATTTTCCTTTTTTATTTTTTTTTTTAATTTTTTTTTTATTTTATTATACTCTAAGTTTTAGGGTACATGTGCACATTGTGCAGGTTAGTTACATATGTATACATGTGCCATGCTGGTGCGCTGCACCCACTAACGTGTCATCTAGCATTAGGTATATCTCCCAATGCTATCCCTCCCCCCTCCCCCGACCCCACCATAGTCCCCAGAGTGTGATATTCCCCTTCCTGTGTCCATGTGATCTCATTGTTCAATTCCCACCTATGAGTGAGAATATGCGGTGTTTGGCTTTTTGTTCTTAAGATAGTTTACTGAGAATGATGGTTTCCAATTTCATCCATGTCCCTACAAAGGACATGAACTCATCATTTTTTATGGCTGCATAGTATTCCATGGTGTATATGTGCCACATTTTCTTAATCCAGTCTATCATTGTTGGACATTTGGGTTGGTTCCAAGTCTTTGCTATTGTGAATAGTGCCGCAATAAACATACGTGTGCATGTGTCTTTATAGCAGCATGATTTATAGTCCTTTGGGTATATACCCAGTAATGGGATGGCTGGGTCAAATGGTATTTCTAGTTCTAGATCCCTGAGGAATCGCCACACTGACTTCCACAATGGTTGAACTAGTTTACAGTCCCACCAACAGTGTAAAAGTGTTCCTATTTCTCCACATCCTCTCCAGCACCTGTTGTTTCCTGACTTTTTAATGATTGCCATTCTAACTGGTGTGAGATGATATCTCATAGTGGTTTTGATTTGCATTTCTCTGATGGCCAGTGATGATGAGCATTTCTTCATGTGTTTTTTGGCTGCATAAATGTCTTCTTTTGAGAAGTGTCTGTTCATGTCCTTTGCCCACTTTTTGATGGGGTTGTTTGTTTTTTTCTTGTAAATTTGTTTGAGTTCATTGTAGATTCTGGATATTAGCCCTTTGTCAGATGAGTAGGTTGCGAAAATTTTCTCCCATGTTGTAGGTTGCCTGTTCACTCTGATGGTAGTTTCTTTTGCTGTGCAGAAGCTCTTTAGTTTAATTCAATCCCATTTGTCAATTTTGGCTTTTGTTGCCATTGCTTTTGGTGTTTTGGACATGAAGTCCTTGCCCACGCCTATGTCCTGAATGGTAATGCCTAGGTTTTCTTCTAGGGTTTTTATGGTTTTAGGTCTAACGTTTAAATCTTTAATCCATCTTGAATTGATTTTTGTATAAGGTGTAAGGAAGGGATCCAGTTTCAGCTTTCTACATATGACTAGCCAGTTTTCCCAGCACCATTTATTAAATAGGGAATCCTTTCCCCATTGCTTGTTTTTCTCAGGTCTGTCAAAGATCAGATAGTTGTAGATATGCGGCATTATTTCTGAGGGCTCTGTTCTGTTCCATTGATCTATATCTCTGTTTTGGTACCAGTACCATGCTGTTTTGGTTACTGTAGCCTTGTAGTATAGTTTGAAGTCAGGTAGTGTGATGCCTCCAGCTTTGTTCTTTTGGCTTAGGATTGACTTGGTGATGCGGGCTCTTTTTTGGTTCCATATGAACTTTAAAGTAGTTTTTTTCAATTCTGTGAAGAAAGTCATTGGTAGCTTGATGGGGATGGCATTGAATCTGTAAATTACCTTGGGCAGTATGGCCATTTTCATGATATTGATTCTTCCTACCCATGAGCATGGAATGTTCTTCCATTTGTTTGTGTCCTCTTTTATTTCCTTGAGCAGTGGTTTGTAGTTCTCCTTGAAGAGGTCCTTCACATCCCTTGTAAGTTGGATTCCTAGGTATTTTATTCTCTTTGAAGCAATTGTGAATGGGAGTTCACTCATGATTTGGCTCTCTCTTTGTCTGTTGTTGGTCTATAAGAATGCTTGTGATTTTTGTACATTGATTTTGTATCCTGAGACTTTGCTGAAGTTGCTTATCAGCTTAAGGAGATTTTGGGCTGAGACGATGGGGTTTTCTAGATAAACAATCATGTCGTCTGCAAACAGGGACAATTTGACTTCCTCTTTTCCTAATTGAATACCTTTTATTTCCTTCTCCTGCCTGATTGCCCTGGCCAGAACTTCCAACACTATGTTGAATAGGAGCGGTGAGAGAGGGCATCCCTGTCTTGTGCCAGTTTTCAAAGGGAATGCTTCCAGTTTTTGCCCATTCAGTATGATATTGGCTGTGGGTTTGTCATAGATAGCTCTTATGATTTTGAAATATGTCCCATCAATCCCTAATTTATTGAGAGTTTTTAGCATGAAGGGTTGTTGAATTTTGTCAAAGGCTTTTTCTGCATCTATTGAGATAATCATGTGGTTTTTGTCTTTGGCTCTGTTTATATGCTGGATTACATTTATTGATTTGCGTATATTGAACCAGCCTTGCATCCCAGGGATGAAGCCCACTTGATCATGGTGGATAAGCTTTTTGATGTGCTGCTGGATTCGGTTTGCCAGTATTTTATTGAGGATTTTTGCATCAATGTTCATCAAGGATATTGGTCTAAAATTCTCTTTTTTGGCTGTGTCTCTGCCCGGCTTTGGTATCAGAATGATGCTGGCCTCATAAAATGAGTTAGGGAGGATTCCCTCTTTTTCTATTGATTGGAATAGTTTCAGAAGGAATGGTACCAGTTCCTCCTTGTACCTCTGGTAGAATTCGGCTGTGAATCCATCTGGTCCTGGACTCTTTTTGGTTGGTAAACTATTGATTATTGCCACAATTTCAGAGCCTGTTATTGGTCTATTCAGAGATTCAACTTCTTCCTGGTTTAGTCTTGGGAGAGTGTATGTGTCGAGGAATGTATCCATTTCTTCTAGATTTTCTAGTTTATTTGCGTAGAGGTGTTTGTAGTATTCTCTGATGGTAGTTTGTATTTCTGTGGGATCGGTGGTGATATCCCCTTTATCATTTTTTATTGTGTCTATTTGATTCTTCTCTCTTTTTTTCTTTATTAGTCTTGCTAGCGGTCTATCAATTTTGTTGATCCTTTCAAAAAACCAGCTCCTGGATTCATTGATTTTTTGAAGGGTTTTTTGTGTCTCTGTTTCCTTCAGTTCTGCTCTGATTTTAGTTATTTCTTGCCTTCTGCTAGCTTTTGAATGTGTTTGCTCTTGCTTTTCTAGTTCTTTTAATTGTGATGTTAGGGTGTCAATTTTGGATCTTTCCTGCTTTCTCTTGTAGGCATTTAGTGCTATAAATTTCCCTCTACACACTGCTTTGAGTGCGTCCCAGAGATTCTGGTATGTGGTGTCTTTGTTCTCGTTGGTTTCAAAGAACATCTTTATTTCTGCCTTCATTTCGTTATGTACCCAGTAGTCATTCAGGAGCAGGTTGTTCAGTTTCCATGTAGTTGAGCGGCTTTGAGTGAGATTCTTAATCCTGAGTTCTAGTTTGATTGCACTGTGGTCTGAGAGATAGTTTGTTATAATTTCTGTTCTTTTACATTTGCTGAGGAGAGCTTTACTTCCAACTATGTGGTCAATTTTGGAATAGGTGTGGTGTGGTGCTGAAAAAAATGTATATTCTGTTGATTTGGGGTGGAGAGTTCTGTAGATGTCTATTAGGTCTGCTTGGTGCAGAGCTGAGTTCAGTTCCTGGGTATCCTTGTTGACTTTCTGTCTTGTTGATCTGTCTAATGTTGACAGTGGGTTGTTAAAGTCTCCCATTATTAATGTGTGGGAGTCTAAGTCTCTTTGTAGGTCACTCAGGACTTGCTTTATGAATCTGGGTGCTCCTGTATTGGGTGCATAAATATTTAGGATAGTTAGCTCCTCTTGTTGAATTGATCCCTTTACCATTATGTAATGGCCTTCTTTGTCTCTTTTGATCTTTGTTGGTTTAAAGTCTGTTTTATCAGAGACTAGGATTGCAACCCCTGCCTTTTTTTGTTTTCCATTGGCTTGGTACATCTTCCTCCATCCTTTTATTTTGAGCCTATGTGTGTCTCTGCACGTGAGATGGGTTTCCTGAATACAGCACACTGATGGGTCTTGACTCTTTATCCAACTTGCCAGTCTGTGTCTTTTAATTGCAGAATTTAGTCCATTTATATTTAAAGTTAATATTGTTATGTGTGAATTTGATCCTGTCATTATGATGTTAGCTGGTGATTTTGCTCATTAGTTGATGCAGTTTCTTCCTAGTCTCAATGGTCTTTACATTTTGGCATGATTTTGCAGCGGCTGGTACCGGTTGTTCCTTTCCATGTTTAGTGCTTCCTTCAGGAGCTCTTTTAGGGCAGGCCTGGTGGTGACAAAATCTCTCAGCATTTGCTTGTCTATAAAGTATTTTATTTCTCCTTCACTTATGAAGCTTAGTTTGGCTGGATATGAAATTCTGAGTTGAAAATTCTTTTCTTTAAGAATGTTGAATATTGGCCCCCACTCTCTTCTGGCTTGTAGGGTTTCTGCCGAGAGATCTGCTGTTAGTCTGATGGGCTTTCCTTTGAGGGTAACCCGACCTTTCTCTCTGGCTGCCCTTAACATTTTTTCCTTCATTTCAACTTTGGTGAATCTGACAATTATGTGTCTTGGAGTTGCTCTTCTCGAGGAGTATCTTTGTGGCGTTCTCTGTATTTCCTGAATCTGAACGTTGGCCTGCCTTGCTAGATTGGGGAAGTTCTCCTGGATAATATCCTGCAGAGTGTTTTCCAACTTGGTTCCATTCTCCCCATCACTTTCAGGTACACCAATCAGACGTAGATTTGGTCTTTTCACATAGTCCCATATTTCTTGGAGGCTTTGCTCATTTCTTTTTATTCTTTTTTCTCTAAACTTCCCTTCTCGCTTCATTTCATTCATTTCATCTTCCATTGCTGATACCCTTTCTTCCAGTTGGTCGCATCGGCTCCTGAGGCTTCTGCATTCTTCACGTAGTTCTCGAGCCTTGGTTTTCAGCTCCATCAGCTCCTTTAAGCACTTCTCTGTATTGGTTATTCTAGTTATACATTCTTCTAAATTTTTTTCAAAGTTTTCAACTTCTTTGCCTTTGGTTTGAATGTCCTCCCGTAGCTCAGAGTAATTTGATTGTCTGAAGCCTTCTTCTCTCAGCTCGTCAAAATCATTCTCCATCCAGCTTTGTTCTGTTGCTGATGAGGAACTGCGTTCCTTTGGAGGAGGAGAGGCACTCTGCGTTTTAGAGTTTCCAGTTTTTCTGTTCTGTTTTTTCCCCATCTTTGTGGTTTTATCTACTTTTGGTCTTTGATGATGGTGATGTACAGATGGGTTTTCGGTGTAGATGTCCTTTCTGGTTGTTAGTTTTCCTTCTAACAGACAGGACCCTCAGCTGCAGGTCTGTTGGAGTACTGGGCCGTGTGAGGTGTCAGTGTGCCCCTGCTGGGGGGTGCCTCCCAGTTAGGCTGCTCGGGGGTCAGGGGTCAGGGACCCACTTGAGGAGGCAGTCTGCCCGTTCTCAGATCTCCAGCTGCGTGCTGGGAGAACCACTGCTCTCTTCAAAGCTGTCAGACAGGGACACTTAAGTCTGCAGAGGTTACTGCTGTCTTTTTGTTTGTCTGTGCCCTGCCCCCAGAGGTGGAGCCTACAGAGGCAGGCAGGCCTCCTTGATCTGTGGTGGGCTCCACCCAGTTCGAGCTTCCAGGCTGCTTTGTTTACCTAAGCAAGCCTGGGCAATGGCGGGCGCCCCTCCCCCAGCCTCGTTGCGGCCTGGCAGTTTGATCTCAGACTGCTGTGCTAGCAATCAGCGCGATTCCGTGGGCGTAGGACCCTCTGAGCCAGGTGTGGGATATAGTCTCGTGGTGCGCCGTTTCTTAAGCCGGTCTGAAAAGCGCAATATTCGGGTGGGAGTGACCCGATTTTCCAGGTGCGTCCGTCACCCCTTTCTTTGACTCGGAAAGGGAACTCCCTGACCCCTTGCGCTTCCCAGGGGAGGCAATGCCTCGCCCTGCTTCGGCTCGCGCACGGTGTGCACACACACTGGCCTGCGCCCACTGTCTGGCACTCCCTAGTGAGATGAACCCGGTACCTCAGATGGAAATGCAGAAATCACCCGTCTTCTGCGTCGCTCACGCTGGGAGCTGTAGACCGGAGCTGTTCCTATTCGGCCATCTTGGCTCCCAACTGTGTCATTTTAAATTCCCATGAGCAATGTATGAGTGATCCAGATTACACATATCCCCATCAGCCTTTGGTGCTGCCCTTATTTTTTATTCAGCCATTCTGAAAAGTCAGCTTCCCTGAGAAGAGGCTAAAGACACACCAGGCAGTTTGTGCCATGTGTTAAAGTGGACCCTGTAGGTTTTCCCTTATCTGAAATACAAGCCTTGAGAGTGGAGATAGGAGTGGTTTTCATCCAGGAAATAGATTCTGAGCAGGTAAAACATTGACAAAGTCAAGTCAGAGGTCCCCATGAGCAGGGAGGGACATGAGGACAGGGTAAGGGAAAAAGAGGATGGGAATGGAGGCCTAGAGGGAAGGCAGAGCAAGAAAGAACTGTTGGGGGTTGGGGAAGCCTGTTTTGGGTTATGCTGGGTTAGCAGGGGTTTTTCTGTTGTTCTTCACCTCAGAGTGCAGATGAAGCAAGTGAGAATGTACTTTCTTTGTGAGAACTCTACCTTCTAATAATACCTTGATCTCACAGGGTACCTTGTTTCCCAAGACCTCAGAGGGTGTGACAAACCTCAGTGTTCCTGTGATACTTGACCTCCTCTTCTCAAGGGAAAGAAACTGAGGCAGAAGAGACAGGCAAGCATCAATCCTGGAATTATCTTACATAGACTAGGAATTGGAGCAATGAGAGGTTAGCATTCTAAGGCATTAATGTTAATTTCCTGTATTGAACATCTCTCTTTTAATACAAGATGCTGTGACCATCTGTTTTCATTCAGGATGCATACAGTTCACCAAATGACAGCATTGATAAAGGGATGTTCAACCCTTTCTCATCTCCAGATTATCCTTTCTTCTCATTTCCAAGAAACAGTTAATGTAGAAAAAAAATCATGAAGCTAAACTTTGTGTTTGCATGATATCCAAGTTAACTTCTCCATATTTATTTTGAAAATAACTATCATAACCTCTTTTGAAAATAAGTAAGGAAATAAATAGAAAAGTTGATTGTGCTGCCTGCCTCAGATTCTGGAGATAATGCAGACCAGACAACCCAAGTTGAAGGCTATTTTGACGCCAGTCTGTAGGCAGCAAGCAAATTACTCAAGGACACAAGAGAGGCAAAGACTGTTTTCTTTTTGATGTTGATAGAGCAAGTCAATAGAACATTTAAATGGAAAACATAACAAACTGATGAAAGAACTAAATGAGGATTCAGTTTTCACACATACCACACTCCTATTCTAGTTATGATGTTTATACTACCAAAAGGTAGTGATAGTGGCTATGGAAAATCTGCATAAAGAGGTATTTTGAAGGCAGCAACACAGTATTAGATTTTCTTTTTCATAGAAATTCTGTCCACCTAGACAACTGCTACTGATTTCTCAAAATTCTGCTCAAGCATCTCTCCTTTTCTGATGCTTTCCTTTAACCTGTGGATCCTCCCCAACCTTGGCCCTATCTCGTTTATTACATGGGCTACATTGGATAGAAATGATTTCTTTATATGGCTGTCAGCATCACTAAACTGATCATTTAGTTACTACATTAACTGCCATTCATTTTTGTTTCCCTAACAGAGTGCCTGGCACATAGGCCATTTTCAAGATTTGTGAGAAAATGGAATACATATCCTGAGAAATCATTGTAGAAACACTTCCTAGGAGACAGGAATTCTGAGATCCAAATTACCACAATGTGTTTTTTCTCAGAAACATTTAAACTACACGAGTCTCAAAATTTTTAACCACAAATGAGGTATAGCAATACCTACTTTATCAGGCTTCATGCAAAGACCACCTGAGATAATCCACTGTGTAAATTCTTCCTTCATTGTCAAGCCTCATAATAGATAATTATTGTTAGGACTCACGTCATCTCAACTCCTACTTGAGATAGCTCCAAACTGCTAAAGGTTCCATGATAGAACTGGGACTTGCCGTCTTGTGGATTTTTTCTCAGGAAGCACATTGGTTAGTATTCAGATCACGAACTTTGAGGCTTCATTGCCATAAACCTATCTTGCTCTTAATTGGCTCTGTGTAATCTCAATATATTGGCCCAATAATTCTCTTTTTCAAGTTTGGGGTAAGCTTCATCCCTAATATTCCCTTCCCTCAATTCCATTTCCCTCTAAGGTGCTACAGTTGAATTTCTAGACACCTAGTTACATAATAGAAAAATAAAGGAAACAACACTATACAATGAAAACACTTTAAATTTAGAAGGATTCAGGTTAATAGCAGACTTCTCTTACGGAAACCTTATTATGTGTGACTTGCATAAATCCCAGGGCCTAATGTGACCCTCTAAGATCAGAATTGCATTTAAAGATGTATGTTTCAGCAAGCAAAGAAGTAATCCAATATTAACTTGAATCTCATAAGGACTATAAAAGAAGTTCTATGATGTAACTCACAGAAAGCTTCTGAAAAATGTCATATTTCTCTCAATCTCTAATGCTCATGTCAGAGGCATTGGAACCAGAGCAACTCCACCTTGAATAGGGGCTGGGTAAAATAAGGCTGAGACCTACCAGGCTGCATTCCAAGGAGGTTAGGTGTTTTAAGTCACAGGATGAGATAGGAAGTTGTCACAAGATACAGATCATAAATGCCTTGCTGATAAAACAAGCTGTGGTAAAGAAGCCAGCCAAAACCAAGATGGTAACAAAAGTTGACATCTGATCGTCCTCATTGCTCATTATACACTAACTAAAATGCACGAGCATGCTAAAAAACACTCCCACCGGCGCCATGACAGTTTACAAATGCCACGGCAATGTCAGGAAGTTACCCTATATGGTCTAAAAAGGGGAGGAACCCTCAGTTCTGGGAATTGCCTACCCCTTTCCTGGACAACTCATGAATAATCCACCCCTTGTTTAGCATATAATCAAGAAATAATTATAAAAATAGGTAACCAGCAGCCTAAGGGCTGCTCTGCCTATGGAGTAGACATTCTTTTGTTCCCTTACTTTCTTAGTAAACTTGCTTTCACTTTACTCTATGGACTTGCCCTGAATTCTCTTTTTTTTTAATTATTATACTTTAATTTCTAGGGTACATGTGCACAATGTACAGGTTTGATACATAGGTATACATGTGCCATGTTGGTTTGCTGCATCCATCGACTCATCATTTACATTAGGTACTTCTCCTAATGCTATCCCACCCGCAGCCCTCCACCCCCTGACAGGCCCCGGTGTGTGGGGGTTTGTTCCCCGCCCTGTGTCCAAGTGATCTCATTGTTCAATTCCCACCTATGAGTGAGAACATACACTGTTTGGTTTTCTGTCCTTATGACAGTTTGCTGAGAATGATGGTTTCCAGCTTCATTCAGGTCCCTATAAAGACACATGCACAGGTATGTTTATTGAGGCACTATTCACAATAGCAAAGACTTGGAACCAACCCAAATGTCCATCAATGATAGACTGGATTAAGAAAATGTGGCACATATACACCATGGAATACTATGCAGCCCTGAATTCTTTCTTGTGCGAGATCCAAGAGTCCTCTCTTGGGGTCTGGATCTGGACCCCTTTCTGGTAACACTCACGTTCAGAAACTGATTCACCCAAGCAGCTGGATATTACTACCAACTGGGGTTCGTCTCTGTCAGACTATATTTACCTTCTCATAGAGGCAGTTTCAACCTTGTCTGGTAACATGCCACCATGCCAGTTTTTCCAGTCCTCCCTTCTGACAGAGTAGCCCCAAATCTCCCTTGATTAAGGATTGGGGAGGGAGCCCATAGAAGTACTAACAGCAGTACGTTACTAATCAAGGTAAACATAAAAATAGGCAGTGCGAGCATTGAGGTATCATGCCACAATTTTCCTCAATTTTATAAAAAGGACTCTCTTCTACAAGCTAGCTGTTTTTCAAATTGAGGATTCAAGACCCAGAGAGGCAAAGACCAACTCACACAATGCAATAGTTCCGGACCTGTGAATATAACCCATAACTCTTCAATCTCAGCCCATGGGACTTCCCAAAAGCCTGCATTGTAATAAAGCCAACAAGAGACATGGTTTGCTGAACCCAAAGCCTGTTACGTCTCCATAACAGGGTTTCCTGGGAGACCATCTGCTGCAGAGCAGAGCTATCAGAACTGCAGACGCTGGTTTTTCCCACTCGAATCCACAGTGGGGCCTGGTGAACAGCGAAGAAAAATACCTCAGCTTCTTAAGTAATCATCCTACCCTCTCCAACTCTGTGCTTCACGCTCCACACATGGCCCAGCTTTTTTCACTTAATCAATTGCATTACACATTTATTGCCTCATTTTTCTCCCTGTTGTAAAGATTATTGCTTGAATAAGTCTTAGTGAATTGGAAACGAGCAAAAAGGAATCACTTAAAGACTTATTAAGAAGACATGTTTTCCTTGCACTGATCTAAAATCTTCATATACCATGAATAAATGAAATTCTTCCTTGTTTATGTCAAAGAAAAGAAAGAAATGTTGCTCTAATATATACATAGCTCAAAGATCCACTCTTAGGATTCTTCACCAGTGTACTTTCCCTGGGAAGAGGGCAACTATTGCGAAAGAACAAGAGATGTTGACATGAATCATCCTCAGCCCTGTTCGCAATGAATGTTCCCACTCCCCGTCATTACCCTATGTCAACCTGACAATGAAGCCATGGCAGCAGCACCTGACATTTTTATCATCCTCCCCGTTTATCCCAGCTGTTTTACAAACACCATCTCAGATCCTCATAACACCTGGCAAGGAGACAAGGAGTATTTATCTCTACTTGATCACCTCATTTGACTTGTCCAAGGTCATAGAATTTATTAAAGTCTGAATAGAGCCCCAAATGCATGATTTTTAGTACCTAGGCCAAAGCTTCTGTATCATTCAGAACGTTTTTAACTGGAAAGAACAGAAAGATTACAGTGCTTCATTGAGGAGGATTTTCTGAATTCTTATCAGTGGAAATCTAGAGGTTGGGAAGGCTACTGGGGACCTTCTCTCAGGCGTCTGGAGGGAGAAGAGGGGGAAGAAAAGGTGGCAGAGATGACAAGGGTAAAAAGAAGAGGGAAACAGAAAAAGAGGGGGCAGAGGAGGGAGAGGAGAAAGGGTAGAGGAGAGGAGAAAAATGCAAAATGAGGGAGATTGCTAAGAATACATGAAGGCCTGCCTGGAATGGGCATGAGACATACTAGTGTAAGTACAAGAGAAAGCGCTGTTTGGAGGACAGTCCCTGGTAGGTGCGAAGCCCAGGAAGCAGGGAGTCACACTGCTTGGGAGGCTCTATGACAGAGGGTCAGTGAGAACTTCAGGGGTTTAGTGGACAGAACCACAAAATGCTCTCCCTGATTCTGCATGGTAATGGCACATTTCTCTTAGGATCACCCAAGCACTTTAGAGTTGGCAGAAGAGCAACACCATTTAGCCTAGACATCAAGAGAAATGAACTGGTGGTTGACTTTTCTGCCCCTCAGGAGTGATAACAACCTTTGCCTCTTAAAGTTAGATGAGGAAAACATTAGCAGGTTCACTGTGGGGAGCCATCCAGGCTGGCGCTGAAGTGAACAAGTGGCTGGAAAATTATCTGGAAGGGTGAGAAGACTCAGCTACCTGCCCCTTACATTTAGCACCCACATGAAGTACTTAGGAGCCTGTTGGAAGATGCCTTGAAACACTGGGGGGTCTGGGGAAATTACAAACAAGCATACACCTCAGCTTTGAAAAACCCTTCAGATGCTTTTTCTTACTTTTCCTTTAACTGAAAAATAGTTATAAACTAACATTAACACAGAGAAAAGTAAAGAGAATGAGACTGGTAAGAAATATTCGTGTGTCCATTACCTGGACTTAACAATCTAACATTTTCCCTTTTTTTTTTTTTTTTTTTTTTTTTTTTCAGAATTTTTACTAGAAAAAAAGTGTGTTACAAAGACAGTGAAATGCCCCTCTCTACCACCACCATTCCCCATCCCATTCTTTCCCTCCCTGGAGAAAACAAACCCTGAAGTAGGTGTGTATTCCTCCTACCCATGTTCTTATGCTTACTATTTATGTGTGTAGGCATATATAATAGACATTTAATGTAATATTTTTTGTACTTTAAAATGTTTCATAAGGGCTGCATCTTTTTACCACTTGCTTTTTCAATACAACATTTGGGTCTTACCTGTGTTGACTCATGCAGACCTAGTTCACTTACAAACATTATATATGATTATATACATGAAGGTACCACAATTCATTAATCCGTTCACTGATTGATGGACACTTAAATTGCTTCCAGTTTTCACCATGGTGACAACAATGCAATAGACATTCTTGGACATATCTCCTCATGTACAGTGTGCTAGTTTTTCTAGAATAAATACTAAGCCATGCAATTGCCAGGTTGCAGGGTATGTGCATTTCATCTTCACTGACATTGCCAAAGTGTTCAAAAGTACATGATACACCAATTTCCCTAAGCTGCATCAAAACGCTTACTCCTCTTGAGGAAGGAGATAATGCTCCAACCAGTGTTGTATCTACTTACCAGAAGTCCAATTAATTTCTACAGGAAGTCTAATGAAGAGATCAATTTGCTTCAAATTGGTGCAGGTTTGACTGTGAAGTCACAGAGACCTATATTTAGCCATCTCTTCCACTTACTACCTGTATGACCTTGGGCAAAGTAATTCTGTCTTTTACCCTCCTCCTATAGGTAAAATGGGAATATTATTAGTACCACCTGTTAGACTTACTGTTAGGATTAAAGGAAATGATGCATATGTAACACTTGGCTACAGTGTCTGGCATCTAAGGACACTCAATAAATGTCCTTGTTTTTGCTTTTTAATTGCTGTCCTCTGTGCTATAGAATCCAAGGTGCTTTTGAAGTGGCTCAGGGGATGCACAAATGAACAGATTATGAGAAAATAGTGAAAAAGAGTCAATGCCAACTTTTCTTCCATGCAATAAGGCTTCACAAAAGGGTAAAGGAAAATATCATGGGTATAAGCCTGGGTAGCATTGAAGGCAACTGAAATATGTCCTGCTTAATTCATGCTCCAGGATAATGTGTGGACTCTTTCTTCCTTCCTTCCTTTTTTTGTTAAAAAAAAAAAATCCAAATAACACATCATATGGACTCTTTGAAAAAATACCCCAAGGAACCCAGTGTAGCAAAGAAACCTGAAAGGCAACACCTACTGCTTTGCATAAAGCCTCCAGGAGGCTCCTGATTGCCCTTAATAAACCTGGCTAAAGTTCTGGCACCCCTTCCATGGCAGCACATTTCTCTAGAGGCCACAGGAATAAAAAATAAAAAGCCTCTCTCTAGAATGTTAGCAGAGGATGCCAACACTTAAAACATGAGTGGGAGGGAACCCAAGGAGGAGAGAGAAATGCTGAGAGAGTAAGAGAAAGAAAGCAAGTAGCAACAGAGAGCATGGGAAGGCTGAATACCTATGTTGCTATCTAAATAGGGCAACCTGCAGGATATTTTTTTCTCCTGAAAAAATAAGTAAATGGATCACCTGCACCGATAATGCATCCTTCCCTTTATTTCACAAGAAAGAAAAGTACGTTAAGTATATACGCCCAGAAGCGCAGTTGCTTAGGAGTCCTGATCAAGAGACAAAAATAGGATGTCAGTTTATGTAGTCATTAACAAGTGTATTGGAAGAATTGGATCCATGCATGTTAGGATTTGCAACAAGAGAACAATCCTGTGAGTCACAGAGTCTAACAGGATTGATGTTCCTTCCTGTCTAATGTAGAGGAATTTATGAGTAAAGATCCTGATGGGAAAGGTCAAAATAAGCATTTCAGATGCTGTGCCCTTTTCACCATCTCTCATCCCTCTAAGTCAAGCAGGATGAAATCCTCTGAGCCTAAAATTATAAGACTAATTAGCAGGATGGATGGGAAGACATTAAAAGAGAAATGTTCCCGAGTTCAGTAAAATCTCATTAATTTAAATCCCATTTGATAAGTTGAACATAAGCTAGAATGAAACTTACAATATAGTGCAGCTGCAAAGAACACGAACTTAAGGAAGAATGACCTGCTGGTTAACTTCCTTAAGCCTCAGTCTTCTCATGTGTAAAACGGGGATTATAAGAGTACTTTCTTAATTACTAGGCATGGTATGATGATTAGATTGAATAGGAACTGCCAGATACTTAGCACAATTTCTAGCTAGTGTTTAGTAAATTGGAGCTATTATTTTTATTACTAATAACCATTAGAATAACTCAAGTCATAGAACTGTAGAATTTCTGAGCCCTAAGAGACCTCATATGGTGCAGCACCCTATTTTGCAGAAAGTAAAAGGGGCCTAGATAGGTTCAGTGACTTCCGAGGTCACTCAGCCACCTGCCTCATGTCTTCCAAATAATCTCATTCAGGAGCTTCTACCATTAATGAGTCAGAGTGTTAGCACCTGTGGCTGAAAAGAAGTTGTTATTAAAAAGGACTTAATGTCTTCATTAAATCAAAGCCACACCGAGTTCTACTAAGAAGTGCTTCATAAGCAGCTAGTTCAAGATAGTACAGCACTTAAAAGAAAATGCTGCTTTAAAACAGAAAACACGAAAGACATAAAAACCCAAAAGTTAATTCAAACTTGCAAATTCATCTTCCCCCCGCCCCGGTCCCCCAAAGTAATATTTGCTTTTTATTCAGGTTTTCTGACTTGTAAAAGTAACTCAATATTTTCTAAAAGGTCACTTTTATAGAAGGTAAGAGTAGAAAGGAAAAGAAAGACAAAAGTAGAGAATGGAGAGAAGGAAGAAGGAAGAAGGGTAGGAATCACACATAAAGTCTTTTAAAGAATTTGGCCTTGTCACAGCTATGGAAAGCTGAAGGGCTGGGGTGATATGGGCAGCACCAGACTAACGTGACCACTGTTTTGGCTTGTACTCTTACTCAACACCCATACTCCAAGTCAACGTAATGCAGTTATGCTTTAAAAATGCAGTTTTATTTGTCTTTGCTCTTCAACTAAAATGCTCTTTTCTTGACAGACTTAAGGTATCTGTTTGTTTTGAATTGTTAACTAACACTCTATCTAATGGAAGTGCATAAATCAATGTCATTCTCTTGTGTTTTTCCATAATTCAGTTCTAATGTATGCATTTGGTGCATGTACCACATGCAAAGGGTCTTGAGATTTTAATTGAAAGGTAAATGTGTGTTAGTTTTTACACTAGCCAGGAGGGAAAAAAAGCAACTCCTTTTTTCTCAGTTTTTTTAAACGAAGGATCTAAAACAAATGAGGAACTTTAAAATATTGATTTATCTTTAATTATTATGGATACATAATAGTTGCATATATTTATGGAGTACATGTGAAATATTGATACAAACATACAATATTGTCATGATCAAATCAGGGTATTTGGGATGTCTATCGCCTCAAGCATTTATCATTTCTTTGTGTTAGAAACATTCCAGTTCTACCCTTTTAGTTATTTTGAAAAGCCACTTGTTCTGAAGGTGGGATTAGGGCTTAATGTTTTTAAAATTCATTTTTTAGTATATCCACCTTGCCCTTCAGAAAAACACACACACAAAACAAAAACCAGTGTTACATCAATGCCTTTATTCCTGTCCTGATAGCCACACGTTGACATTTAGGCCCCAGGTTCACTAGGCTTTGGTCTGCACACCAGCTGCCAGCCTCTGACAAGTTGTGCCAGCATCCGCCCCACCATCAGGGTTGCTTGTGGCCTGGGAGAAGGAAACAAATGCAGCTAATGAGCTGGAAAAATAACACACTTGTAAGAATCAGCACAGGGATTAGATGCTTCCTATTCTTAGGAAAAGGAAAAAACTCAAAAAAAAAAAAAATGCAACCCCCACACCAACCCCCAACACCCTGCAAAACATTCACACAACAGCTAGTAGCATTCTGAGTTTCTCTCTTAATTAAAAATAAAAATAAAAAGTCCAGCTGTCATAGTGCCAGGCATTGGAGAAATAGCACAGGAACTCTTTAACCACGTAATAGCAACTGCAGTCCAGGTTATCCTGAGGCGAAGTTGTTTCTTTACTGTGGGAGCCATGGATAGTTGAGAAACATCATGGTGCAGAGGAAAGAGTAACCTCATCCTGGCAGCGGTGAGCCATGTGGCTGCTGCTACACAGACGTCTCAGTCCTGTGCCCCACCACCAACCTTTTTTTTTTTTTTTTTTTTTTAGCATTGATGAAATGGGTAGCATAAATCCAATACTGTATGTTAAAGAAGGTGTATCCAAAAAGGCTGACAGCACAGCTGAATTCCTGATGGACTGGCTTAAGAGCAAAGTAGAGGCAAGCTAAAAGTAAGTGCAAACCCCAGCTTGCTCTCTTAGCAATTATGTGACAAATAGAGTAACACTCCAGACCAGAGTAACCCACACATGGTTATTGCAGTAAACCTCAGCTGTTTTACTTCCCCAGTATATTTGTTTTCCGGGACTGCCAGGACAAATTATAAGTTGGTAGCTTAAAACCACAAAAAAAGTATTATCTCACAGTTTTGGAGCCAGGCATCTTTAAAAAAAAAAAAAATCAAGACATCAGCAGGGTTGGGTTGCTTCCTTCTGGAGTCTCTGAAGGAGGATCTGTTCCATGCCTCTCTCCTAGCTTCTGGTGGTTGCCAGCAACCCTTTGCATTCTGTGGCATATAGATGCATCACTCCAATCTGTGCTTCCTTCTTCACATGGTCTTGTGTGTCTTCTCCCCTTCTAAGGACACCCTTTCATTGGATTCAGGGCCCACCCTAAATTTCATCTCATTCTGAAGTCCTTAGCTTAATTACATCTTCAGGGGCCCCTTTTCTAAATAAAGCCATATTCACAGGTTTGAGTAGACACATCTTTTGAGGCACTACCATCCAACCCAACATACCCAGCATCTATTCTCCTGCCTACTGGTAATAATACTTCACCTTCACTTTAGGAAATCAATTCCACCCAGACTCCAAGGGTGATGCTATGGTGCAGACCAAGCCCATCCTTAGCCCATCCCAATAGCCTCATTGGCAGGGTCAGTCTGCAGTTCCAGCTTTTCAATTACATTAAGTCTTAGTTATTTTCTGAAAGTACTGGGGATAAAATACTTTTTTGCCTGGAGTTGCTAAGCTTGGAGTTGTTAGGAAATTCAGGAAAAGCATGTATGAGAAAGTACAATTCTGTAGAGAAGACTCAGCAAATGGGGAGAGACCAGAGACCTCCTGGGCCCACCTGGGCCAGAAAGCACCCTGAGATTTCAGTTATGTGTTCCACTTAAGGCCTCCTTTAGCTTCACGTAGTTTGGTTGAGTTTCTTTCACTTGCAAGTGATTTTTGAAAAAAAAAAAGCTAGTGCATTTTTATTCATTTTACAAATATTTGGCTGCCAATAATGCACCACACATGGTGTTAGTCTCTGGGGATAAAAATGATAAAGACATAATTCCTGCCTTCGAGGAAGTCATAATCTTTTAGGGGACTGTTGAGATGTCATGAGATTTCTGTGGCAGCTAGAAGGGAAGCTTAGAGTCCATCTCGTGTTCAATCCCAACTTTTCACGGCAGCATGGAATATAAGAGTAAGATCATAAGCCAGTGGGGAGTCTGAGTGCTCACTCATTAATTTGCAAACATTTGAAACAGTGTCATCACTCCCAATGCTCCAGGGAAAGACAAAGGTGTGGAAATGAAGGGTAGATGGTGAAGATGGATCGCAGATTGTCTGGCTCTCTACAGCTAGGAGGGAGCCTGACTTCTCCCCCAGGGTATTTTTAGCTTCCTATTCTTAGAGATGATCACAGCATTCTGGTCTTCTCAGTACTTCCATATGAGGAAAAACCAGAGACAAAAGGAAAAATCAGAGCAAAGGGCACCAGGAAGGAACTGGGTGTCCCAAGAGAAAATCTGGTGACAGCTTCTCCACAGGGTAATCTTTCTAGGCAAACTCAGTAGTGAGCTGAGTTTACTAATACTAATACAAACTCTAGTAGTATATAATGGTTTTGAGTTGTAATTGTATAGCATATTTAAAACATCATCTATTTTCAATTAGACAGTAAATTTGTTGAAGATGGAAACTCTAGAGGACAGTCTTTCTTTTGGCATTCAATGTCTAAATCTCCTTATATTAGGGAATCCTGTACTGTACCAAATCAACCTGTGTCCCTCCATAGGGGCTAAAAGGCCAGATGGTCTGCTTCTCAGCCTGTCTCTTGGCTAGGATGTGGGGATGAGACCCAGGCTCTGCCAAACAGAACCATCAGCACCAAATGTTAAACTAAACATTAGTGATGAGAAAAAGTGGGGCCATTCCGCAAACAGTGACAAAAGTATTCACTGTGTTTATAGGGGTAGTGTGCAGGATTGCTGTTTTCAACAGTACAACTTGAGGCATCTGGTGCCCAGTGACAGTAACATCTGAACCAACCTCACTGCGCAATCTTAGATGATGCTTCTGGCTGCAGTCTCTGCACCTGCTTCTTCCGCCTTCCTAAAGATTTATGTCTTCTTACTAATTTATTTCCCAATAAAAGGTGAGAATTGGTTCCTGCTGTTTGCAACTAAGAACTCTGACTTAGTTTCCTTTAGTCATCTAGCTAACTCCAACAGATTTAGTCAATAAATGGTTATTTATTTGAATGTATTACCCTCTGACTCCACACCACCCCATGTTAACTTTGCCAGGCAAGTACCATTGTTTTTTCTTTTTTCCCTTCCCAACTGGTTGGAAACAAGGCCTAGAAAAACTAAATGACTTATGAAGACATATGGCTGGCAGTGAGTAAACCCTTTCCACACTGTACCAGGGGTCACACACACTGCTGCTTATGAATGCAACATGTAAAAATAATCAGGGAATCTCTTATTTCTGACCCACATTATCACATTGAAAGTCATAAAACAAGGTTGGACTAGCCCTGCATTCCTGCTGGCACCTACGAGAGCCATGCTGACTGCTCTCTTCAGACACAGTCTACGCTACCCAGCTCACACCAGTCCCTTCACCTTGTCTTACCCACCCCCCCTCCACTCAGGCATGTTACCTACCTGGCTGCAGAACTATTCCACTCTACCTCCAGGGAATGCAGAAAGCAAAGAAAACAGGCACTTAAATTTTCTTGCTTCAGTGCTAGAAACGTATTCTGGATCTAAAGTACAAAAGCCCAGAACGTCACACAAAACAGCAATGTAAGAAGTCAGTCTTCTAGCCAATGAGTCAGGGTCCAACAAGAGGGTATAGGTCAGGGGGAGGAGGGGAATCAAAATGTCTTGCCTTTGCTTCATGTTCTACCCCTTATGTGCTAACCTAGAATCTTTGTTAATAACATTCAAATGAGATCACACAGAGTACTTTTAATTTTTTTCAATCAGTTTTGTTTTCTGATTGCAGAAGTATTAGGCATGGTATGGTAAAAAAAAAAAAAAAAAAAAAAAAAAAGGTCAAGAAAAGGAGAAACAACATACATACCATTCAGTTTCCAAACCCAAAGAAAATAATTGTTGGGGAATATATCTAGCATTTCAGATTCTCTTGACGCATTCTAAATGATCAAGTTTTCTACCAAGGTACTTTTGTTATAGTACGTTTCATAGCCACTGCTCGACTCCTACAAATCACAGATTTAGAAAATTTAGAGTATTGAAAGTCACAAGTGGGCATCTGCAGACCTGGAGGCCAGGCAGGAGAGCTGCATGGATGCGGAAGAATTCCTGAGAGAGTCAAAGGTGAGAGAAGAGGAGGGAGAAAGTTTCTCTGCCAGTCTCCAGAAAAGACAGAGGCCTACATTCTATTACTTAGAGAGGCAGGGATGAAATGATGTGGAATAAGTGCCCCAGAGCTTGAGATTGAAGTAGACACCCCCCAACCCAGAAGGGAAATATGGAGGCAATGAGCCATGATGCAGTTAAAAGGACACTTTTTCAGGGGTCGGAGACTAAATATAGCAGACTAGATGTATATCCACTCCAAAGAAAATGGTGATCAAGGTGGAAATACTGTGTTGGGGGACGGGAGTAAAAAATCAACTATTTTCAGGAGGTAGGCAAGCAAAGCAAATGAATGAAGTAGGCCAGGTATGAGGGAAGTGAGATAAACTTTGCTGGAATTTTAAACACACAAATATTCTTCCACAAATAAGTATTCTTTGTCACTTTTTGGAAACATGGCAGCCTTCTTTGTCTTTCATTTTCACAGTAGGAAAAACAGGTCAGACACAATGATAAATGGAAGTTGATCATGGATCGTGGTATCAAGGAGACAATGAGATGTGGCTGGGGGTTCTAGAAGACTGGAGAATTCATACCCCATCTGAAGGGCTATACCCTGGCTAATAAAAATAGCAAAACAGAATAAAAACATAATATTCCAGAATAAATTCCAGAAGTAGGCTGAAAGGTATTAATACCGTTAATGTTGGAAAAGGTCTGGGAAGAGGAAAGGGAGGAAGAAGGTTGAGAGAGAGAATGAATGCATGAATATGAATGGTGGCTCATAGGCTATATGACTTACCAATATCATAAAAGTAAGCATTGAGAAGAATGACTCAGTAATTTATGATAAAATGGGGAAGTTTTTATGTTGACTGTCATTTATAGAAAACATAATACAATTAGTGTTTTTCCCCCTCTAAAAATACTTTGACAAAAGGATTAAATTCAATAGACTGTAATGATTGGGGGAAAGAAAATAGTATAAGATTTTTGTTTTTTGCAAAATTTACTCATGCTTTGAAGAATCATTGTGACATCTGCATCTATTTCATGGAAAAGAATCATGATTTTTCTCCTTAAGTTTTAACTATAAACAAAGAAAGGTACAGAATAGTAATTTAGGTCAATATGAATAATTATTGTTAACACCAAGAACTATTCACATGAAGAAAATAATGTAATATGAAGAGTCTTGGTATTGGGTTCTAGAATCTGCACTGTATGTGGCCTTAGCTAGAGAATTATCCTTTGAGACACAGTTGCCTCTTTTCAAAAATGGGTATGGTACTACCTGTGTATGAAAAGGGAGATGGACTGTGTATGAACTCTACAAATTTCCAAGCCTTCCACAGACATACATTTAAGTTAAGGTAGGCTAATATGATTCAAAGATCTAGAAATGCATACAACATATTTATTAAATTTTAACTAATTTTGAAATTTAAAGATCTTATGGCATCTTGTCCAATCCCACTCAGCCAACCTTACGCCCATCATGTCTTACCCTAACCACACCACACCTGATAGCCTAGGCGCTTTTAATCCCAGAGCCAGGAGACCCCAAAATAATATATACCTAGAGTTAAGAATTAGAACAACCTTAGTTCAAAGTCCAATTTCATAAGCTTAGCCTCTCCGTTTCCTAACCAGAAAATTGAGATCCTAAGGCCTACTTCAGAGGTTGTTGTACAGGTAGAGAAGGAATGTAAAATACCTACTAAAGCCTAGCATAAAGAAATTACCCAATAACTACAGCTTGTTATTGTTGGTTCTAATAGAGTTTTATCCTGTTATTCTTATTAGGAAACTCTAAGTAGAGATTTCTCCCTGATGACAGGGAGATTGGTTAACCCTTGACATCCAGTGCTGCGTTAATGTTATCTAGCGTCAAGTGTGTGTGTCCTGTAATCATCATTACTGTGTCACAAGCTTCCTGAGAGTAAGAATCTCATTCGATACTTACTGAGCATCTTCTCTATGCTAGACACTTTTCTCAGACCTGGGGCTCCCAGGAAGCCTGGCTCCCTCTGCTCTCACAGAGCTTATGCTCTGAGAAGAGGCAGCCTATCAACAGGTATACAAATTAAAAGCAGCTCTTGGGAGATGGTATACATGAAATAACCAGAGGATGTAACAGAGACAGGATGTGGTGGGAAAGATGGGGAGCTGTATTAGAAAGGCAAGGAAGGGCCTGTGAGACCACAAGGCCTGACACGGGAGGAAGAGCAACAAGACACAGACCTGAGTGAGGAAAGCAGCACGAGCAAAGGAGGGGCAAGTTCAAATACTGAAGGAGAAACCCAGGCTGTTTCTTTGAGGAATAGTGGAAAGAGCTAGGGAGCTGAGAGAGGAGAGAGAATTACACAAAATAAAATGAGAGAGGTAGGCAGGATCCATGTCTCATAGGGCTTTAAGCAGAAGAGGGTTCCAAGTACATGACTATTTCATCAAGTCACCATTTCATCAAATACACCATTTCCTGGTTGCTGAACAGTAAGAAAAATTTTGTTTTCTTTCTTTTTTGTTTCAAATATGATTTCATATTTGGGTCATTCTTGCCTTAGCCCCTTGCAAGAAAGTACTGGGTATCACTCCCACATCCCCACCTGCCTTCACCCAGTCACCTGAAGAGAAATGCCAGGTGAGGAACCCTTGACTCATTTCAAAGTTCTCCCCTTCCAGCTACCAGTGGTGCACTCAGTGTAACAGACCAATGAGGATTTCTTCAGCCCGTATTCTACTTCTCTCTGGCATTTCAGAAGTTGGCTCCACTGCCTGAGGAAGACATTTTAGGAGAGGTTTCCATAGAAACTTAAACTTTCTCTCCAGCTGCTCATGTAGTTTATCCCTTTATTTTTTAAATGCACATTATTATTATTGTTTTCAATCAGCTTTTGGGCTTTTGCTTTCTTGGGTTCAAATAATATCAGATCTCTAGGAACACAAGCTCTCTCATTCTCCATTCAACAATCTCTCCTAATTATGCTTCCATGGCTGACAGAGAGGGTTATAGAAGCTTTGCTGCCATAATGAATCAATTCTCAGATTAATATTCACTGTATCCCTTAGAGACCCTTAGGTGGTTAGCCCTCAGTCACCAGTGTAGCCTTGATAGCACTGATGTTACATAAGAAGTCTTATGAAGCCATTGTCCAGCCTCCTTCCACAGCCTCTTTTCATGACACTAATCTTTTCTCCTAGATCACCACATTTCAAATCTAAAACCCACTGCACCTTCTTTCTTATTAACACAGGCTTAAGTCTCACCCACTTTGGGCATTGTAAGTGCCATTTCTTTGAGCTATGTTATACTCATTCTTAATTTACATAAAGTAGTACTTCCCAAATTAAACATTTCCTGACCTCTTGTGGGGCTGGATTCACCTGTTATGGCTTCCTCATAGCACTTCTCATAATTATAATAACATGATTATTTTGATGGTTATATATGTGGTGTCTATCTCTGTTAAAATGTAAATTCCTTAAGGAATTATGTCTTTTGTATCTTCTGTAACATTTAACAGTATTTTTTGAAAAATAAAAATATTACTATTTCTCTAATATAGCCATCTTAAGTTCAAAAGAAGAGGAATCAAGTAACTTCTACTTTGTGCATTTATGGAGTAAAATTTATTTTCTTCAAGGAAACAAGTGTATATCATGTATTGTGAAACAACTGGAAAAAAATAAACTTATTTTGGTTTCAGTGAAGCTATCATTCAATAGGGTATGGATCAAAGCAAAAGACAGGCCATTTAAGAGCTGCACATAGTAATTTGAAGTGGGAATAATGCAACTCTCCACCTCTTCTGTATACAGATGAGCAACAGGTGAGCATGACTGTCAGCATGGTCCAGAATTCTCACTCCACGTAGAAGTTAAGAGAGAATGGAGGGGAAGGGAAGAGTAAGGAAAAGAGGGGAAAGAAGGAGGCAGCGGGACAGACAGAATACTAAGAACATGTGGGAAAAACAAAGACACCACACTCGAGGATATGAGAAACAGAATAAAAGAGACCCACATGGAGACTCCAAGTCCATCTTGGGGTGGGAAGAGAGAAAGGCAATACAAATTGGCTGGGAGGAGAGGCCTGGAGAAGAGATCCAACCTGCATTTCGGGGGTGGGGGGGCTCAGAACCTTTGACAGTTTACAATTCTGTTCTAAGGGCATAGATAGATCATCCTATGCCAGATACCACCAGGAGGCTGATGTGTGAGATGATTTCTTTAGGCCTGCAGGTCAAACCTAATCATACAGTTACCATTGCTGAATCTGTTGCATATGCTGGTTTCCTTAGAAACATTGCTGTAATAAATCCTTACAAGAACCTGTTTTACCAATGGGGAAGCTCAGGCTTAGAAAGTTTAAGGTACTTTACGAAAGTCACCCAGCTGACATGTGGCAGATTTTAAGTCTGTATGATTCCAGAACTGAGCTCTGTTCATTATACTACCCTGGCCTGGCTCAAAAAAAAAAAAAAAAAAAAAAAAAAAAGTCGGGGAGGGAGGCGGGCGGGGGCTGAGAATCCTCATTCTACAACACAATGGGGGAGGGAGATGATGGAGAACCTACCAGGTGAATATAATGATGGGTGGCATTCAATCAGCTAAACTTTCTTTATAACATGACCATTCCCTTGCTTAACCCCCTCCAGTGATTCCCCACTGCATTTAGGATAAAATTCCTAAGTCCTAACCATGATTTGCAAGACTCTGTACCATCTAGCCTGTGCCTAACTCTGCAGCCACATTTGATTCTCTGATCCCCAGTTTCTGTCCGCTTTTCAGCTATGAGGGTCTTCCTCTTCCTGGTCAGTGACACACGCTTATGCCAGGTACTTCTAGTAGGACCATCTGCCTTTATGGAAGGTTCCACCCTCTACTCTTTGTCTGGCTTCAAGAGACTTGGGTTTTTAGAAAAACCTTTCTAGGCCGGGCGCGGTGGCTCACGTCTGAAATCCCAGCACTTTGGGAGGCCCAGGCGGGCGGATCACCATATCAGGAGATGGAGACCATCCTAGCTAACACGGTGAAACCCCGTCTCTACTAAAAAATACAAAAAGTTAGCCGGGCGTGGTGGCGGGCGCCTGTAGTCCCAGCTACCCGGGATGCTGAGGCAGGAGAACGGCGTGAACCCAGGAGGTGGAGCTTGCAGTGAGCACAGATCGCACCACTGCACTCCAGTTTTGGCGACAGAGCGAGACTCCGTCTCAAAAAAATAAAATAAAATAAAATAAAATAAGAAAAAGAAAAACCTTTCTAGATCTCATGATGTAATTCAGGACCACACTTTCCTTTTTTCCATTGTACCTTACATTCTGCCTTCATATCACAATACTACAGTAACCTCTGCGTATTTCTTCATTTGATGATTTGGCTAATGCCCACCTGCCCCACTAGATAATAGACTCCAGGAGGACAGGGACTGTGTCTCTTATTCACTGTGGTATCCCAACCCATAGTACAGTGTCTAAGACATGGTGGTTATAAAAACTCAATTTTTTTGTTAACCATTACAATGACCTTCATTCAGGAATGCTGCAGAGGAAATGTCCAAGATAAGTGAAGTAGTGAGATGACTAGTGAGGAAATTTCATTTACAGCCATTGCCAGTGCTAAAAGGTTTGCTTGTAATTTGACTTCCTGCAAGAAGCAACTTAAACTATTCATAAATAGTGAACATCCTTTGGACAAAAGTGGAAACTGTCCCCCATTCCCCCTTGTACACGTACACTGCTGCCTGCACCCGCTTGTTTTTAACCTACCTCATGAGTTTCTTATGTCTTTGTTCTCACAGATTTGTTTTATAACCATTCCTTCTTTATTCCAGACACGCATCAGAAAGCCAATGCCATAGAGAACCAGGTCCTCAACTACCATTAGGAAAATGAAAAACATGATGAATCACCAACAGTATTAGCATGAAAACAGTCTCTGAGCCAGACTGGGCTCAAATCTGCTCAGAGTCATCAAGGCACTGCCACACAAATGATTTTGACATCACAATTCTAGGATTTTGAATTCATGTGTTGCCGAAGTCAGAAACCTGAACTCCAGGAAAACAAAAAATCTGTTATTATGCAAATAGTTTTAGACACTAAAAAAAGGGGGAAATGAAAAGATAAGCAAACACAGACTGCATAATGCCACCTGGCTTCTAAAATAGTACCCTCTAAAAGTTTTAATAGGTGTTAGCTCATCTGAAACAAAGGTCTCTAATCACATAGAAAGCGTTTTACTCAAATGATTTCATTTTCTATTTTGGTAACTCTTCCAATGGTGTGATTGTGCTTTCAGAGAAAAGAATAACAGGAGACCCTGAATGTTTTCCTTGTATTAGGAGTAATTTCCATCTTTTCTACCAAATAACAAATGGGCAATCATCCTGCATGCTTATTCAACCAGCACTGGTTATGTGCCAGGCACAGTGCTTGGCGCTGGGGATAAAGTACGGAGCAGATACAGAGAGGACCTGTCTTCCTGGAATTTGCAGTCTTTCATAAACATGTGTGCAGCTTGTCCATTCCAAAGATGTTTGTCTTTCTATTAAAATGCATGCATTATGGCACTGTATCTTTTACAAAGTTCTTTTACATATACCACTTTGTCATCCTCTTGAGAACTCTAATAACAACATGAATGTAAAGATTTTCTCTTATAATGAAGAAGGAAAGGCTCAGAGTCCAAAAGTACTGGCGACAAATCACATAAAACGTGTTCTTTCAACCACACTGATAGTAACAAAACACAGCAAATGTTTAACATAACGCTTATAAAGTCTAAGCATTTATAGCCATTCTCTGTTAATTCTTACAACAAACCTATAATTCCCTACTTAAAAAGTGGTGTGACTGAGACTCAGAGGTTTAGTAACTTATTATAAGCCAATCATTCAACTAAAAAGAAAGATGTGAACCCAAGCAATGTGATTGGAGAGCTGGCATTCAACCACAGCAATGTATTGTCAAGATAATACAAACTGGTCATGTTCCTTATTTGATCAGTCGTTGGAATAGCTATCATTATAATCCATTATCATTAGAATCCATTTGAATAGAGAAACTGAGGCCTATGGTGGTTAATGGCCACATTCAAGGTCATACAGTCTAGATGAAGTTAAAATAAAATCTAAATCCCCAAGATGTGAAATTCAACTCACCTTTCTACTTGAGCAAGTGTTCTTACCTCCTCACAATGCAAGAGAAGATATTTTGAGAGACCATCCAGTCTCAACTTATGCTTTAAGGTCAAGTGAGAGGTCTTCTTATACTGGACCTGGGCTTGGTCAACATGATCAGGTGTAAGCAAGAATTGAAACTGAGACATTCAGAGTGAGAAAGCTCAAGGCTATCAAACACCTCATCAGTTTGGGAGTCCCTATTCTAAATGAGATTTACCTTTGGCTAATATGTCAAAGTTTAAAGATGATCTAGGGACAGATCACTTCCTTCCTTCTGAATAATGATGTTAGGAGAGCCATTTCCATTGGAAAGAGGGTAAGAGAATGTGAAGTGCATTTGTGTATAATATAGGGTTTGTGAAAAGAGAATAGGGAGATAGCTGGAAGGCAAGGTAAATTCCAGGTCATCCATTCAACAACAACAACAAATGTATATAACAACAACTATCTATATATCTATATTTATTAGATATTTAGTACTTTCAATATTACCAATGCTGTATTTAATCCTGGAGAAAAAGATGAATATGACATAGTCCTTGGCCCTAACAATCTAGTAGATACAGAATTAGAAGGCTCAGAGAGTATAATATTTTTCTTCAGATACCAGAAAGCCACTAAAGGTTTTCAAGAAGAGGATGATGTGACCATAGCTGTTCCTCTTACAGATTCAGACACCGATTTGAGAGGGACTTCGAAGGTTAAAGTGTCCTCCCGTGGACCACAGATTTCCATGCAATAATGCCCTCTATGGCTGTACTAGCCTACGCAGTAGCGACCTATGGCTATGGAGCACTTGACATGCAGCTAGGCAAGCTGCCTGTCTACAAGTATAAAGGACATGCTGGACTTTGAAGATTTAGTATTGGAAAAAAAAAACAAAGCAAAATTCCATTAAAAATATGTTATATTGATTATACATAGATGTGATAATATTTTAAATATATTGAGTTAAATCTGTTACTAAGATTAATTTTACCCATTTCTTTTTACTCATTAATGTGGCTACTAGAACACTTACAATTATGTATGTGACTTGCATTGTTTTTCTTTTAGACAGTGCTATTGCATAGAATTCCTGGTAAATGTTCACCCAGGTTTTCTAGAACATCTCTCCCAACTGCACATTCACTGGCTCTTGAGGAATTCCATTTTGGTGCTCAATAGGTCTGCCTGCAGATCTTTTTGGGAAGCCACAATCTTTCTGTAGAGTTTACCCATTGGGAATCATGATACCCTAGTGTGTCCTTCCAACAGTGATGTCCAACTATATTTTCCCCCCATAGGTCCAACATCTTCCAGTCTTTTGTCTTAAGTAAACACCTTCGGTTGGTTTTATTACTCCTTGCACACTATGTTTTCCAGGCCTCCGATGATTTTTATCATTCTTATCTCATACACTCTAAATTATCAGTACTTCCTTGGAAATAAAAAAAAAAATGTTTCTTTAATTGTCTGGTTGGAGGTAGCAGGGTATGGTAGAAATACCTCTAGATTGGAGACCACAGGTAGGTTTGCTTCCCATCTGCTGTGGTTTAGATATGGTTTGTTTGTCTCCACCAAATCTCATGTTGAAATTTGATCCTCAATGTGGCAGTGTTGGGAGCCCTGGTCTAGTGGGAGGTGTTTGAATCATGCAGGAAGATCCTTTACAAATAGATTAATGCCCTCCCACTGAGGTGCGTGTGTTCTCATAGGACTGGATTAGTTCCTGAGGGAGTGGTTGTTAGAGTCTGGCTTCCTTGGGTTCACTCTTGCTTCCTTTCTTGCCATGTGAGCTCTTTACACATGCCAGCAACTGTCTACCAAGAGCTGAAGTAGGCTGAGGCCCTCACCAGATGCAGATGCTCAATTTTGACCTTTCTAGCCACCAGAACTATGAACTAAAACTCTTTCCATATAAATTACCCAGTCTCAGGTAGTCTGTCATAGCAACACAAAACACAGACTAAGACACCACCTCCCCCATCAGTGTACAACCTTGAGAAAGTAATTTCACCTTATATTTGAAAGCATATTAAAGCCAATTTAAAAGTAAAATAAAGGTTGGAGGTTTTATATATAGTTCTCTGCAGTAAACCTAGTCTTTAACTGCTCCACACTCATGTCTCCTGCCAATAGAATCCACTCTCAAATCATGTAATTTCTGCTGTTGTATGAGGGAGGAGAGACAGGTTAACCTTTATCTTCAGCTTTAGAGAAGGCTGAACCCCAGCCTGGAGAGGTAAAGTCACAGAAATTGGTTTAGTGATGGGTGCAGTACTCAGCTGAGGCAAATGCATTACATGGAAAGAGCCAGCTTGAGAATAAAGCAACAGAGAAAGCAGAACTAAAATATACTGGGAATGGGGGACGAGACCTAATAACATAATTCACATCATTTGAATGCCTGGTTCACCTGTGCTTAAAGTAATGTATTCCTTGGTTTTTAAAACACACACACACACACACATGAACACAAACACACACAAAAAAAACTGAATTAATAAATTCTTTGTATTTCTTAAGCTAGTTTGAGTTTACAACCAAGAGCTCTGACTAATGTACTGTCCATCTCTAAAATATTTCTAGATGCTTTATTTCATTCCAAGCCCCTCTGATTTGTCATGTATGCACCTACACTTACAAACGAGAAGCAATGTTTTCCAAGCAAACAGAGAAGGACAGACATTTTAAGATGGCAGAAGACAGGGATGGTAGAGCCCCCATTCTCTTTCCTTTCCTCTGAAGAAGCATGTCCATTAATCATTCTCCCATGTCATGGAGAAACCACATGGTCAACATTTAAATTACTAAAATTGTCATTTCACATTAAAATGATATTTGTTATATATTTCCTCTGAAGTGTGTGGCAAGTAATTAAATAACATTACAGCATGCCTCATCTTGTAAAATCAATGTGTGTACAAAAGCCAAATTGACTTCCATTAAAATTCCTGACACACTTTATCTGTTCTTCTGATTGATTCTCAGTTGGCAATATCTCCCAACCCTTCAGCTTTCTAGTTCTCTTCCTATGCCCCCATATCTACCTAACAAGTAGGTTTTAATATAATACCAAAGAACTAAAAAGACCTTAAAAAATGGCTACTACTCTGCTCCCTCAGTGTATTGAGTTCCAGATGATAGGATGTGACTCTCTCAATGGCTCTCAAACAGTAAGTTGGAGATAAAATTTTTGCAAGAGTTTAATGTTCCTGAAATATATCATACAGCATCTGTATTCTAAATGGAGCCCCCTGTTTATAGGTCTCTTTGATTATGCAAATCATCTCCAAATTTAAACATTTTTTAAAACAAGATCAGATTACTCTATTTTAGTTTTCAAAAACTGGGTTTTTCCTTAATTTGGGTGCATAAGATGTGATTAAATACAAATAGCCACTGCTATTTATGTACCCTGTACCTGGCATATGCTTAATGGGCACTATGGGGCTCAGTCTTCATAAAAATCTCTTTGAGACTGGTACTGTTAGAATGCCCCTCTTACAGAGAAGGAAGCTGGGGTTGAGAGGCTATACACTTGGCTTAAGTGAGACATCTGATAAATGGCATGCAGGATTGATTCCATTTCTAGCTCTGACTCCAGAGCCTGAGCATTTAACATGAATATTCTATATACTCAGAAAGATTAGGCAAGCTTTTTATTAGCACATGTCTGAAAACAGACAAGCCTTTGAGATTCAAGACCTGCAAAATTTTTTCAATATCTTACCAGACAAAACTATCATATTGCTGGTGAAAATTTAGAATGATACAGCTTTTTTGGAAAATGGTTTGGAGGTTTCTCAAAAATCTAAACATAGAATGACCATAGCAATTCCATTTCTATGTGTATAACCAAGAGAAATGAAAACATGTCTACTTTTCCTCATAGAGTAACATGCATATAGCCCAGAATCCAAAGAAACTGAAAAAGGATCCAGAGGAACTTTCATTGCTGCAAGCTCAGTTGCTGCCCCAGGCCAACCATGTGTTTCATCAGACATGCACAACTTGAATGAACTGCACTGGTACCTCAAATCCTGCTATACGACTTTGAGCCTAAAAAGCAAGGTGATTACTATTTTATTTCTGACTTCCACATCTCATGCAAATGTCTCTTGTGGTTCATGCTAATCCATAACTATGCAAGAAAGAACTCGGAAGGATAGTCCAGCTTTGCTAAACAAATTGACCACAATTATTATTAAAGAATTTGAAAGCCAGATAGGTAATGTTATGCAGTGCATAAATACATTTTACCCTTAAGAAGAAATGCAAACTTGTCCTAAATTCCTTGGTCTAATCTGCTTAAATTTAAAAAACAATTCTGCAAACGGTACATTTTTTAAATCAAGGTTTCTCAGCCTCAGCATTATTGACATTTTGTGCTAGATAATTCTTTGTTACTGGGGCTGTTCTGTGCATTGTAAGGTGCTTAGCAGCATCCTTTGCCTCAAGTAACTGGATTCTATAGCACCTTCCCAGTCTTGGCAAGCAAATATATCTACAGACAATGCCAAATATCTTCCAGAGTGAAAAAAATCACCCCCAACTGAGAACCATTTCATTGACCAGTATAAAATATGCAGCACCTTTGTTTTGGAATAATCGAGTTGAAAATAGATTACATATTATGCTGTTTGTACATTTAATTTCATACCACCACACTCCAGCCTGGGCAACAGAGTGAGATCTCATCTCTATATAATAGATTATATATTATACTGCTTGGACATTTAATTCCATAGATTATGATTTTTGATTACATAAAACCTCACCCAACATAAACATTAACTCACTGCATTGGAAGAGACTCTCTCTGTTGGTTCAATGTTGAGTCAAATCACAAAATCGAGGTTCAGTTGTTCAAGGTCACTATTTAAAAACACCACGAATGTGTTAGCTTCAGAGATCAAGCTTAAATCCCAACAAAAGGAAGGATACAGTAGAGTAGGCAAATCTGCATTTACTACAAGAAATTTTAGCAAAAACACTTCCCTTAATGATGCAGTAAAAGGCTACAGAGATGATACTCTCAAAATGGTGAATAATGTTTCTTGGTCATGTCAAAGTATCTCTCATTATTATTTTAAAAATAGAAGGCTGGGTATGGTGGCTTATGCCTGTAATCCCAGCCCTTTGGGAGGCCAAGGTGGGAGGATCACTTGAGCCTAGGCTTTCAAGACCAGCCTGAGCAAACTAGCAAGACCTCATCTCTACAAATAACAATAAAAATTAGCTGCGTGTTGTGGTGCATGCCTGTGGTCTCAGCTAATTGGGTGGCTGAGGCAGAAGGAGGATCACTTGAGCTGGAGTGGTTGAGGCTGCAGTGAGCCATGATCATGCCACCACACTCCAGCCTGGGCAACAGAGTGAGACCTCATCTCAAAAACAAAAGTGAAATTGTTGTTCTCACTTAAGCATTAATTCTTGAATGGCCTACCCTATGATAGTTGCACATATTTTAAAAATGACTAGCATGACCGGTTAACATTATCAAAAGCACTCAACTAACTGGTTACACCTTGCCCATATCAAATCATACTCAAACTCAGGGGTCCCCAACCAACTGGCCATGGACCGCTACCAGTTTGTGGCCTGTTAGGAACTGGGCCACACACCAGGAAGTGAGCAGAGAGTGAGTGAGAAAAGCTTCATCTATATTTACAGTCACTGTCCATCACTGGCATTGCCACCTGAGCTCTGCCTCCTGTCAGTTCAGTGGCAGCCTTAGATTTCTCATAGGAGCACAAATCCAATCAAGAACTGCACATGTGAGGGATCTACATTGTGTATCCCTTATGAGAATCTAATGCCTGATGATCTGTCACTGTCTCTCATCACCTCCAGGTGGGATCATCTAGTTGAAGGAAAACAAGTTCAGGGCTCCCACTGATTCTACATTGTGGTGAGTAGTATAATTGTTTCATTATATATTACCATGTAATACCAATAGAAATAAAGTACACAATAAATGTAATGTGCTTGAATCATCCACAAACCATCCCCCATCCCCCAGTCTGTGGAAAAGTCTTCCATGAAACCAATCCCTTGTGCCAAAAAAGGTTGGGAACCGCTGCTGCTCTAACCCAAGGACAGAAAACTTCAGTATCATCAGGAGCCAAGCAGGCAAAATTAAGCCCACAGAGAGTCATAGGAACTACACTGAACTGAAAAGTCTATGCCTCACCTAAAAGTAAGCCATTTCTGCTGATCCCCTTCAAAAAGTTGTGACTTTGAGAAATCCAAGAGCTTGTATAGTTGTATGAAATTACTTGGCAATTGATTCAATTTTTAGAAATCATCACAAGGCAACATCACAGGGGAGAAATATATATGTTTACATCTGTGTGTGTATACGTATGTATTTGTGTGTAAAATGGCTGAATCACTCAAGCTGGTACAATATGTATATTGCTTGTGCATACATATGTATTGTATATGCATATTTTTATGTATATATTATGTGCATGCCTATGTATACCTGTGTATTTGTGTATCTGTAGCCTGAATTCACCTATCAGGAGGCTAAGTTATTACTATTATTACAAACAACTAATAAATGTAGTTATTTCAAAAAAATCTCTTCCCACTTAACTCTAAGTTGTTTGTCAATAACAATATCAATAACTTAATATCACTTACATGGTCAAAGAACCAATAAGCTTACTGTTCTGAAGATCAGTAAGAAAATCTTACTTCCGATAAGTCATCCAAATTGGAAAAGAAATAGTTAAACTGTCTGTCTGTAGAGAACAAGGTCTTATCTATACAAAACCCTAAAGAATCTGCCAAAAAAAGGTGATAAACAAAGGTTCAGGATACAAAAATCAACATGCAAAAGTTAGTAGCATTTCTCTACACTAACAAACTTAAAAAAATCAATTTGCAATAGCTACCAAAAACAAAAGCAAAACAAAAAAATACCACACTTAGGAATAAATTTAACCAAGAAGGTGAAAGATCTGTGCACTAAAAACTATAAAACATTAATGAAAGAAATTCAAGAAGGCACAAATAAATGGAAAGATATCCTGTGTTCATGGATTCGAATCTTGGTCAATATGTTCATGCTACTCAAAGTGATCTACAGATTCAATAGAATCCCTATCAAAATTTCAATATCATTTTTCATAGAGAAGATACAAGTTTAAAATTCACATGGAACCACAAACACACACACACACACACACACACACACACACACACACCTGAATAACCAAGGCAATCATAAGCAAAAAGACCAATGCTGGAGACCCCACACTATCAAATTTCAAACAATACTGCAAAACAATAATAATTAAAACAGTATGATATCTGCATAGAAAAATAGACACATCATCCAATGGAATAGAATAGAGGGCCTAGAAAAGAACCACTGCATCTATGGTCAAGTGATCAACAAACATGCCAAAAATATAGGCTAAGAAAGATAGTCTCTTAAATAAGTATTGGGAAAACTGGATATCCACATGCAAAATAATGAAAGTGGACGCTTGTCTCACACCGCATACAAAAATCAACAAAAAATGGATTAAAGACTTAAACATAAGACCTGAAACTGTAAGTCTACTAGAAGAAAACATAGGAAAAACACTATACAACATTCATCTGAGCAATGACTTTTAGTTTTGACCACAAAAGCACAGACAACAAAAACAGACAAATAGGATTACATCAAAATGAAAAGCTTCTGCAAATCAAAGGAAATAATTAACAGTGAAGAACAACCTATGGATTGGAAGAACATATTTGTAAGCCATACATCTGATAATTGTGTCAGCATAAAAAAATACATAAGGAATTCAAACAACTCTGTATAAGGAAAAATAATCTAATTAAGGAATGGCCAAGAGATCTGAATAAAGATCTGAATGGCCAAAGAGATCTGTTTCTCAAAAGAAGACACATAAGTGGCTAATAGCTGCATAAAAATGCTAATATCACCACTAATCACTAGGGAGATGGACATTCAAACTACAATGATATATCACTTTACACCTACTAAAACGACTGTTATCAAAAGGACAAAAGATAACAAGGTTGATAAGGACATGGAGGAAAGGGAACCCTTGTACCCTGTTGATGGGAATGCAAATAGTATAGTATACAGGGTCGCCAAAAATAGTAAACATAGAATTACTATATGATCTAGCAATCCCGCTTCCAGGTATTTACTCAAAAGATATGAAATTAATATGTCAAAGGGATGTCTGCCATTCCCATGTTCACTGCAGCACTATTCTCAATAGCCAAGTTGTACAATCAACCTAAGTGTCTGTCCATCAACAGAAGAGTAAAGAAAGTGTGGTAGAAGTTTCTTTAGATGAGTTTAGAATAGATACAGCATGGTGTATATATACAACAGAACACTATTCAGCCTTAAGAGGAAAAATGTCATTTGTGACATGATGGAATTGGAGAACATTATTCTAATTGAAAAAAGCCAGATACAGAAAGACAAATACTGCATGTTTTACCTATCTGTGGGAATCTAAAGCAATTGAACCTATAGAAACATAAAGTAGAACGGTGGTTACCAGGGGCTGAGTGTCAGGGGAATAAGGAGATGATAGTCAAAGGGTATAAAGCCTCAGATAGAAGGAATAAGTTTTATTCTTTTTGAGATCAGTAGTACAGCATGCTGAATGTAGCTAATAATTGAGTACTGTACATTGAAATATCGTTGAGCAAATTTCTAATGTTCTTATCACAAAAATGTTGAATATTTGAGGTGATAAAAGAAAAACTTATTTCCAATGTTATAAGAGAAAACTGAGGATCAGAGAGCTAATATGAATTTTTCAACATCACAAAACTTGGAAGTAGTAGAGCCAGGGCTCAAACTCAAGTCTCTTAAGCGTTTACCCAGTGCCCTTTCGTACTGATAAATATCCAGAGCACTGCTGAAATTAAACTGGCTTAAATTAGCACTAACCTATGAGGGCTTTGTGTGCAGTCCTCATTCCTGAAAAAGGTTCTCTTTGGTCCTATAGTTCCCCAGGTAGGATGACAAATGTTGTGTTAAGAACAAATTGTGCTATATTGCATTTGCATGGATTTCTTGAATATTTCCATTTACTATGTAGCAAACCCCTTCAGCACCATCGTAATGTGGAAGTACATGCTTTATTGCTTCTAAATATTTGAATTCCAATTGTGAGACTTGTCAATCTACCTAGACTCGTAAGTTGGCATAAACTGATTTTCTGTTTCATGACAATATTGTTTAGTATTTGCTGGGCTGTATTTGACACGACATTTTTAATATTACATTTAGTCAAATAGATTGAAAGCTGCTAAAATAGTCCTTTCCCTAAATTTTGCATTTTTTTCTTTTCTCCTTTTTAACTCTGGTGAGTCTATCTATTAACAAAGTAATTATAAAATTTATCTACATTGGGAAATTGTCAAGTGCATGAGACCCAGCATGATGTGAATTTCAGGTTGTTTGTTTGTTTTGAGACGGAGTCTAGCTGTGTCGCCAAGGCTAGAGTGCAGTGGCTCGATCTCCGCTCACTGCAAGCTCTGCCTCCCGGGTTCATGCCATTCTCCTGCCTCAGCCTCCCGAGTAGCTGGGACTACAGGTGCCCGCCACCACGCCCGGCTAATTTTTTGTATTTTTTTTTAGTAGAGACGGGGTTTCGCCGTGTTAGCCAGGATGGTCTCCATCTCCTGACCTCGTGATCCGCCCGCCTCAGCCTCCCAAAGTGCTGGGATTTCAGGTTTTGAAGAAAGGATCAAAGAGTCTCCTTACTCTCCTGAGAGTCCTTTCTCACAAGAACTTAGATTCTCTGCAGATGACATGGCTATGTGCTAGCATCCTTTAAGAAAAAGAAGTGTTATTTACAAATCAAATAAATCAATCTCATTTCTCCTCACCCTTTGCAGTAATTTTAAGCATCTTTTCATTTTTTACTTCTTAACATCAGTAAATAAAAAAGTAATATGCTAAAAAAAATCAAAAAGTTTTCTTCAATTCCTCAACTGCTTGAGGGAGAGAGAAATTTCAGGAAATCATGTCAGCTCTGGCTTTAAAATATCTTTCAGATGCATCCTTTCTCCATCTCCAGTTTTATCCCATTACCTCTACATCACCAATGTAGCCTGAGTCAAAAATTTTAGTTGTCTAGATATTTGCAATAGCCCCTTTCTCATTTATATTCTCTTCCTCCTCCAATCCCTTCACCACAGGACATGTGTAGCAGAAGTTGCTGGTTGCCTTCCCTTTAAGGAACCGTACTTAACAAAAACCTGATTTTCTTCTGGGTAGAAATGTACTCAGCTAAAAAGGCTGTATTTCCCAGTTTCCTTTGCAGTAGAAGTAGCTAATTATTTGGAAGTCAGTGGGCAAATTTTCCACAAAAATGGAACAAAGGGACAGATTGTTTCCATACGATGCTAGTACCTCTCTCCCCTCCCCCATTACTTTTTCATCTGGAAGACAGAAGGGATGCTGGAGCTTCAGCAGCCGTCTCATGCATTTCAGAATGCAATTCAGGGCCAAAGAGAGCAGAGAAAAAGACAGGACCTAGGTCCCTCATGATTCCACTGACCTGCCATACCTGCCCCAGACTGCATGACTGCCTTCTTTCTCTTCTCCTCTCTCTCTGTCTCTCTCTCAGACCTAACTGATATGTTTGAACCACTGTCATTACAGCTGGAACTATCCTCTTTGGGCAAGTATGCAAAGTGATGGTTTTAAAAGCCCAATCAGACCAACTCATTATAGGTACCTGCTACCACGCCCAGCTAATTTTTGTATTTTTTAGTAGAGATGGGGTTTCTCCGTGTTGGTCAAGCTGGTCTCGAACTCGTGACCTCAGGTGATCTACCTGTCTTGGCTTTCCAAAGTGCTGGGATTACAGGTGTGAGCCACTGCACCCGGCCCAACTCATTAACCCTTAAACTCATTCAAATTCTCATCTGCTTGTTATGGCTAACATGGCCCTGAATGATTTTATACCAATATCTATTCAAGCACCCTTCACACCATATTACTTCAGGTACCTCCCTTCAATTCCTCCAACTTGTTCAGACTTTTTCTTTCATACTTGCTGGTCTCAGGACCTGAACAGTGTAACTGGTCCCTTCTCCATTCTTCAGATGTCATCTCAAGTAGCACTTCCTCACAGGTACTCTCAACTTTCCTAAGCTGAAGGCTTTACAACACCGCCTTCTACCATCTCCACCATCTAGTTCATTCCTATCACAAAACAGATCACCATCCTTAATTATCTTATTTACTCCCTTGCTACTTGTCTATCTCCACAGACCAGAGGCCTTCTTTGTTATAGAAGCTCAGTCTCAACAAATATCTCTTAAATAAATGCTAAGTGCATAAAATTCTCACTACTGCTCTGCACAAAACCTTACCTCCCAACCCCATTGCTCTAGTAATGTGTAAATCCAATTACATGAGGCCATCAGTTTAAACTCCTCCTAGAGTTGCAAAATAAAAATAAATTCTATCATGTAGTAAATAAGCCTTTTTGTGATCTAGTCATGTATCCTCCACTATCTATACTTCCTGAAATGTAAATCCTCTTTCCTTTGCATGTGTAGTTCCTGCTAATTAAAAGATTTACCTGGCTGAATGCTGACCCCTTGACAATTTCTGAGGCATCACCCTCTTCATGAGACTTCCTGGACTCCAACTCTCAAATCTGGGTTAGCTGTCCCTTCTTACAGAGGTTTGGAGATGATCACATAGTGTAGTATGCTTCTGGAGCAAGTGCACTGGCTTTGGAATCAGACAGTTTAGGTTCAAATCTCATATCTGTCACTTGGTGACTGTTTGGCCTAGAACTGTCCCAGTCATCACCTGTAAAAACTAAAACGATTGCAGTCTAGGGCAGGATATATGATTGACATCACATAATGCATGTAACACACCTGCTAAGTTACAATCAATGGTGACTACATTATCATTAACAATATTGCTACCTAATCAGCACATGACACTCTGTGTATACTACTATCACATGTTTAACAGTGTAATAAATATATACATTTTTCGAGATGGAGTTTTGCTGTTGTTGCCCAGGCCGGAGTGCAATGGCGCGATCTCAGCTCGCTGCAACCTCCGCCTCCTGGGTTTGATTCTCCTGTCTCAGCCTCCCAAGTAGCTGGGATTACAGGTGCATGCCCCCAACGCTTGGTTAATTTTTGTATTTTTAGTAGAAATGAGGTTTCATCATATTGGTCAGACTGGTCTCGAACTCCTGACCTCAGGTGACCCACCCACCTCAGCCTCCCAAAGTGCTGGGATTACAGGCGTGAGCCACCATGCTCGGCCTAACAGTATAATAAATATTATGTATCTTGACAGTTTTCCCACTAAATTGTGTGTTCACAATAAAGGAGTGGTTTGTAATGCCTCTTTTTAACTCATAATGTCAAGCATCATATCTTGTACAAGGTAAGTGTATAATTGATATAATTGATAATTAAATCTACTGTGATGTTGACTATGTTGAGTGCAATCCTGTGCCTGGCACCCTGTTATAGGCAGAGCAGCTAGCAGATTGGGCATGATGCTTGCCTTCATGGAATTGTCTATTAGAAGAAGAGAGTCAGACAAATAATTTCTTTTTTTTTTTTTTTTGAGACAGAGTCTCACTCTGTCACCCAGGATGGAGTGCAGTGGTGCGATCTCGTCTCACTGCAAACTCCACCTCCCGGGTTCACGTCATTCTCCTGCCTCAGCCTCCCAAGTAGCTAGGACTACAGGCGCCTGCCACCACGCCCGGCTATTTTTTTGTATTTTTAGTAGAGACGAGGTTTCACTGTGTTATCCAGGATGGTCTCGATCTCCTGACCTCGTGATCCGCCCACCTCGGCCTCCCAAAGTGCTGGGATTACAGGAGTGAGCCACCATGCCCAGCCCCCAACAAATAATTTCTTTTTTTTTTTTATTGTACTTTAAGTTTTAGGGTACATGTGCACATTGTGCAGGTTAGTTACATATGTATACATGTGCCATGCTGGTGCGCTGCACCCACTAACTCGTCATCTAGCATTAGGTATATCTCCCAGTGCTATCCCTCCCCCCTCCCCCCACCCCACCACAGTCCCCAGAGTGTGATATTCCCCTTCCTGTGTCCATGTGATCTCATTGTTCAATTCCCACCTATGAGTGAGAATATGCGGTGTTTGGTTTTATGAAATAATTTCAACCGTGAAAAATGTCAAAGGGGAAAGCAAGGGAAGCTGTGGGAACATATGGTAACAGGATTCAACCTTGTCCAGAGGGACAAGGATTCACTGCCTTCTGCATCTTTGAAACTTGCTAGACCCCAGCACAAAACCTCACATGACAGGTATGCAACAATTGTTCATTAGTTTCTTTGTAAGAGGTGTCAAGCATGTACTATTCCGTTTAAGTTTGTTCCTCTTCAAACTTTAGTTCTCCAGATACCCATCCAATTTTACAACCTTGATGAAGCTTGATGGTCAGCAGATGATTGGATTAACTTAGAAAAAAGGAAAAGCGAAATTTGCATATAAATGCAAACATGTTATTTTTTCTTATTTAAAAGAAAACACATTATCCTGGCAGGCCAGGGAGATGGAAATTTTTTTTAAAAATTAAACAACAACAAAAAGAATGCTAACCACAAGGTCAATGCTGAGAGTTTGGGGAAAACACAGAAGACATAAGAGAAGGAAGCACAGCAAATTACCAGAACTAAGTGGAAATCCTGAGGGGGTTAATGTGCTAGGACGGTCTCATAACAAGTAATTAATTTTCATTATCAATCTGTACTAACAAGTTATATCAACATAACTATAAATAGCTGCAGAAGCATGGATTTGAGGTTTTGGAATTTTCTTCCAACCTAGGATGTTGGTGCTACACAAGTCTATCCACACATTGTTCATCTCAGCTGCATTCTCATGTAACCTTCTCTCAGAATGATGAGCACAGACTATAGATAATCAGTTAGAAAGTACACACTCTATAAAACAAAAGTTGCTTGATTTCTGGTTGTGATGCATAATGGCCATGCGACTTGGATAAAATAACTTCTGTTAACCTTAATTTCCTCTTTTGGAAAACTGAAAAACTCCTGTCTCACAAGGTTGAAACCCAGCCTGGAAAAAAGAAAAATAGGAAACTATGCTAAGGGTTAAATTTCTTGTCAATGATGCAAAAACAATTCCCTCTGAAATTCATCAGGTTTTGTAAAATGTACCAGACCTTAACTTTCCAGTGCCAATAGCCAGTTCCAGGTGAAGCAATTACCAGGTTGATTGCAGGGGCTGGGAACTGCTGGAGTGAATCACTGATTAAGAGATTGATTTGGATTTCTGTTTGAGCTGTGTTTGATTAGCTTGCCCATGACAGTGAGCAATCCAGTCTCAATGGGCACATTCCACTGGACACAGAATAGCTCCATATTCCCAGCCCCAATTGCCATTCAGGAAAGAGGCATAAGTTGGTATCATTAACACATGTTCATTTATTTTAATGGGGCATTAGGACTGATTTATATGGTAGCATTAAAGAAGAAAGATTACTCCAGACTTATAACTATATAAGAGCACTTAACATTACCTTGCCAATAAGCCTTCTAAAAGGATGAATACCATTGCCCTCAATTCAAAAAAAGATTTCACTGTGCCACCAGATTTGTCAGCAAAAAAAGGGAGCAGGAGAACACAGAAAATCAGCTTCAGCTTGCATGTTTCTTTCTGTTATGAAGCTCATATTACTACTGGAGAACTCAAATGTTAGTAGAGACCAAAATCACATTCACTTTTCTGAATTTCTAAGAATAGGCTGCTATAATTCCTCTTAATCGAAATGCTTTTCTTTTATTGGTAATACTTTAAGATAATGGTATAATCAGTATTGATTTTACTGTTACACATCGTAACAGTCTTAAGAGCACTCAGCTCCATTTTTCCCAGAAAAGTCAGCAAAAACATTGCAGTTTATCTCTTCATATACTTTCTCCGCTTCAGCATTAGTTCCTCCTCAATTCCTGTTTGCTATTCTGCTCCCCACTTCCCCGTGGTTGTCCCTCTTTCTGCATCATTAATCAATGGTGGTTCTATGAGAAAAGAAACATGGAGATGAAAATAGCATAACTCATGTCTGCTAACATCAGGCTTACACCACTGAAAACATAGGAAAAAAATACCTTTCTAGGAAATGCCCTGAAACAATTGGTTAAAAGAGAGCTTGCAGTGCCTGTGTTTGTATTGATGTGAGGAGAAGTAAGCTTTTATTTGTAATCTATTTAATTTCTCACTTTCCCATTAACCTTCAATTTTGCGAAGACAAAATTTGACTCGGAATCTTCACCATCAAATCCTCAGTTATTATTTGTCACACACAATGCTCAATAAATACATTTGTTTGCTGACTTTGTTTGCTGGTACTATTCTCCTCCCTGGTCACTATCACCCCTCTCTGTTAAGGAAGTAAAAATGACAGGCAATCATCTTCCACTTCGGCTTTATTCAGACCTTTGCAGGCTGATATGGCTTCTCAAGTTCATCCCAGAACCTTGATGCAATGGTCCATTTATTGTACAAACAGACAAAAGAATATTCACAATGATAGATTGTAAGAAAAAGTAATTTGAGAAATTCAGAGCTGGAAAGAGAAGAGAGTTCCCAAAGTAACAGTTCTACTTAAGTCTCTACTCATGTTCTGAACCAATAGGATCAAAATTCTATTTTCAGTCAAGTCATAGAATCAAGAGCAAATATTAAAAAATGTTTACCAAAAAAGCTTCACATGCTTCAGTATAAGCTCCATTATTATTATCAAGACAAGAGCATCTCAAAATTAGAGACATGTTGTTTATGTGAAACTACCTTACACTGGCTTTCAAACTCAGTATACCAGTGTTTGTATTAACAGTACCTCACTATTCCAAAAATAAATGCAATCAGGCCTCCAGATACTTCTAAACATATTGGACTTTTACTTTCCACCTGAACACAAGAAATTTCCCAGGTGTTTCTGATTTTTATGTATTAAAATAAGGTATAAGACATATCCATTGATCTCCCATATCTCTGATGCCATATCTTGTTAGTTTGAAATGAATTCATTTTTATTTTATCTTTCTTTCAATCTAACACCATCCATAATTTCACATAAGAATGAACTCTAATATGCTCATATCTCATCAAGAAAGATAATGGCCCTGCCAAGAAGATATATTTTTTTGGATGTGATTCTTCAGTGAAGCAGAACTTTGTAGAAGCAGAGAGGCTGGAATGACATTTCTGATTTTCATAGATTTAACTGACCCTGACATATTCTCAGGAGAAATGGCTTTGTCAATCAGGGGAACATCAGATTTAAATTGCTTATTTTGGTATTACTACCCATTGCTTTCCTTTATGCCAAACATTTAATCTGATGAATTTATTATTCAATAGTTGGTGTTTTCACCTACGCTGTAAAATAAAAACAATTCAAGTAAGTAATCACAGGAAACAGACTGTTATCAACTCATAAAACCTAGTTCTCCCAACTAGTATTTTAAGCCCTGAAGTCTTTTGAATTGTTAAAGCAATGGGACAAAATTCATGATTTCTCTCCTATTTATAGGAAATGGCATAAGAGAGAAATTGTGCCCATACAAGTAGATGGAGTAAGAAGGAATGTTTTTGGTGTGGTGTGGCAACTGGCCACACCTAAACTGTATGTGTGTGTAGTGGGGCGGTGAGGGGAAAAAACCTAACTTCCAGTTCTATCTGCTTATATGACATATCCAGACTCTAACATAACCCTAGTTTTCATGAACCATTGAACAGAGATTTACAACTTTTTCAGCACCAGGGACTGGTTTTGTGGAAGACAGTTTTTCCACAGACCAGGGAGGAAAGGGTAGTTTTAAGATTATTCAAGCACATGACATTTATTTTGCACTTTATTTCTGTTATTGCATTGTAATTGATAATGAAATATTTATACAACTCATAATATAGAATCAATGGGAGCCTTGAACTTGTTTTCCTGCAACTAGGCGGTCCCATCTGGGGGTGATGGGAGACAGTGACAGATCATCAGGCATTAGATTCTCATAAGGAGTGCACAACATAGATCCCCTTCATGCACAGCTCATGATAGGGTTTGTGCTCCTATGAGCGCAATTTAATGCCACTGCTGATCTGACGGGAGGCAGAGTTTGGGTGGTAAGACGAGTGATGGGGAGTGGCTGTAAATACAAATGAGGCTTTGCTCACTAGCCCACTGTTCACCTCCTGCTGCATGGCCCAGTTCCTAACAGGCCACTAGCTGCTAGTGGTCTATGGCCTGGGGGTTGTGGACCCCTGCTACAGAACATATACCTCCAGTACTCCAGAGCCAAAATGAGGTAAATCTGTTATTAAAACAATTTTCAGGAAGAGGCAAAATTATGATTCTCATACAAACATAAAAATGTTAGAAATTTTGTTTACTCATGATGGAGCCAGCAGATACACAACCTGTACAAAGGAAGAGTCATAAAAGCACAAATTTATATAGAGTAAAGGGATCTTGAAATGAATTACAAATGGAAGCACACTCACCTCCTCACAGGGGAGGAACAGAACAGGAAGTAAACTTCTGGCAGATGGGACAGAATTTGCATGCCTATTAGATACCTACAATTTTCAGTTTTAAAATAGCTCCCATAGAATCAGAATGTAAAGCATAAAGTGGAAGGGTGTGCTGTAGATAATGTGTAGTTTTCTGCTGCAGTGCACAACCTTTTTCTTCTATACTGTTATAAAGTGAGAACTAGGAAGAGGGAATAAACAGGTGAGAAAATAGGCTACAGGCACCCTCTCTGGGTCTAAACAAGCAGACTAGCTAGCTCATACTTAGTCATCTCTATCTTGACTAGTTGCTGCCTCTGTTTCTCACACACCTCTATTATTGCTTGAACTAGGAGTTGGCATTTACCTATTTGCATTGAAACAGTGCCAAATGTATGGGTAGGTTATCCAGATATATACCCAGGATTCTAACAGTGCTGTGCATGTAGAGATGCCATTCAAATACTCAAATATTTCATGAATCTGTACTGGAGACCTGTGCCAAGACACTTTCTTCTATGCTTATGGTATCTCAATAGTATAAGATAAAAATGAAAGAGACAACTGTGTCTCAGGAGATTTTATTGGCACAACTGGGAGAAGAAAATACTCTGCTCCCAATCCTACCTCAAGCAAAGAACATCCACAAAGATTTTATATGTGATTCACCACCCAATAATACTTCATCTTTTCTCACTTCCTTTCACCTTCACTTTCCTCTCATCATCACCATAAACCATATCCCACAATAAAAGTCTTGCTGGTTTTGCCTCTCTGGGCTATTCTTGACATCCCGTGACATACACAGCACCCCTAATAAAGATGTGAGGATGTAGGACATTGCTGGCCATTGTAGATTTACTGGTTTCTTGCCATATTTAAATCTGGCATTGTGTTTTTAAAGAACCCAAGTTATATGTCTTTTACAGCTGATGAAGAAAACTAGCTTTTACATATTATTCATAAAAGTAACTAGATTTTTATCAGGCAGCCATAAAATGCCACTAATTAAAAAAAAATCAGAGAGTCAGCAAGATATTCAAAAGCAATTCCCTAGGAAAACAAAGAGAATAAAGACAATTAGTAAAAGATAGCCATTAAGTCTATTCCAGACCAGAGGGGGTGGGAAAAAAATCTCCAATGCCTGGGTCCAAACTAGAAAAAGAGGGAGACAATGCATAAAACTTTCATTCCTTTATTGAAGTTCACTTTTATTGTTTTAAAATCTTACTATAAAGGCTTGATATAATAGTAACTAAATGAAACCACCAAAATGGTAGTTTTGATGCAAGACGAGACTGTGTTATAAGCAAACTTGTTTTTCTTCGGGGGTTGCGGGCTTTCTCCTGGCTTGTTTGATTTCCTAATGCCACCTGACTGCTGAATTTGTCACTCCATTTCACCCCATTTCAGCAACACTCCATGCTTTAGGCTAATTGTTCTGAACTGGGGTCCATTTGCCCCTCAGGAGACATTTGAAAACCTTACATCTGGTGGAAGGGAAATTAATACTTTTTTAATTTGCTTATAAAGAGAAACAGCTGCCTCCTCTTCCCCTCTTGAAAGAGTCTCCTTGAGAATGTGGTAAACCTGAATCTTTTCTAACCCTTGGACTGTAGATAAATTTCTCCAGGGACTAGAAAAGCATAGTCTACAATGCAGAGTTGTCTCCAAGGCCACAGATCTTTAACCCCTTGAAACATAAGGAAACCATTATGGAGTAAACATAGAAATGCACCTCCAGATATAATTGTCTTTCAGGGAGACTAAAGGCATCTTTTGGGGAGATAAGTCATTTTATTGTTCTTTCAGGAAGATAATTAAGTAATAGTTACCTTAATTCCCAAGAGAACTTTGTACCTGCTTTGCTGTATACATTTTTTAGTATTTTATTGGCTTTGTAGTCTTTTATAGGCTATCTAAATGCGTGTAGGCTGTTCTGCTTGTTCAAGAATAAACCAGTTTATTTTCACATTGATCTGGAGAATTTCTGTGTTAATGGAACATTTCTTTCCCCCATACTGGAGCCATTTTTTGTCATGGGGGTTGGTGGCAGGGAATTTGGGATTACTAGTGGCTATTTAGTGGGTAGAGGCCAGGGATATTGCTAAGGATCCTACAATGCACAAGACAGCCCCCAACACCACAGAATTATCTGGCCAAAAATATCAACACTAACGTGATTGAGAAGCCCTGCTCTAGGCAAAGGTCTTAAAAATGAGCTACTGGAATAAAATATTAGACTAAATTTGTAATGCATGCTGGTGGTGTCCCACCAGGTTTCCTTCAACCTATTAGGTGCACCTGCTCCCCAGCTGCTGCAGATAACTGCCAATGGCTCCCACCTACACTATTCTCCAGTAAATTGCTCTCGACTGACAGGAGCCACCCTTGCCAAGAGGATGCCTAGGAGGTATAACCCTCCTGAGAGTGGCTGTCATAATTAGTCACTGATGCTGGGGTATAATACTCCAGACCCCCTTACCTCTGGGAGACACAACCATTTTGGTGTAGTTTACATTCCAGGGCTCCCTGTGAAATCACACTGAGGTTAGACTTCTCCTGAAATCATGTACTTGCCAGCTTCTTCCCCTACCTGATTCTGCTCCTCTCACTCTCTTACAGGTTTCTCTTTAGAGTACCCCCTCAATAAATCACTTGTCAAGAATCCCCACCTAAGGGTCTGTCTGCTTCTAGGGAACACAATCTAAGACCTACATATAGCCTTCATCTAAATTAAGAAATTACATTGCACTAATATTTCATACTTGTGCTGACACTAGCACCATCACCCTGCCCTGATGTCAGATGTTGTAAGTCACAGATGACATTCAGGCCGCTCCAGGCAAGGCTGGGATTTCTATGACATAAAAGAGTTGACAAGGATGATCTCACTCATTTTTTGCTAACAGCATATTGCAAAATGTTACACTTCAGCTGTGCTAGGTTAAGCTGATTTATAGATTACAGGTTAGTTTAGCCAAAACTAGATAAGGTAAAGAATGAACAAGTGGCTTTAAAAGATCAGTGAAAAGAAACCTCAAATTGAAGATAATGTTGATGATGCAAGCACCAGAAAAGAAAGAAAATGGCAGAGCTGCCACTTCTGGAAAACCCTTCATCTGCCATATAATGGGGTAGAAGCAATGAAGATCCAGTTGATTCTGAAAAGTCAGTAAGATATACTGAAATTAAAAAGGATTTCAAAAAAAGTATCAATTTATACTTACAACCATTGAATGTCTAACATCAAGTATTGTCCTTAATGTATATGCTGTGACTTGAAATTATGTAATAAAGTATAAAACCTTCTTAAATTAACAAAATGTTTGCCTAATAGACTGAAAATGGCTGCCCAAAAGATATCCATGTCCTATTCAGGGAAGCTATGAATATTACTTTATATGTAAAAGTATCTTTGCAAATGTGATTAAAGATTTTGAGATGAGGAGAGTATCCTGGATTATCGGTGGGTTCTAAATTCAATCACATGTCTTTTTATAGGAGGGAGGCATAGGGAGACTTCACAGACACAGAGAAGGCAATGTAAAGATGAAACAGATTTGAAGATGACGACTTTGAATATAGGAGTGACGTAGCCACAAGCCAATGAGTGCCAACAGCCACCATAAGCTGAAGAGTCAAGAAATGGATTCTTTCCAAGAGCATCTAGAGAAAGCATAGCCCTGTTGACATCTGATATCAGCCTAATAAAATTGATTTTGGACTTCTATCCTCTAGAACCATGAGAAAATAATTTGTTATTTTAAACCACCAAGTCTGGAAATTTGTTACGGCAGCCACAAGAAACTAATACAGCTTGTTTATCTAACTTTCTTTTGGACTCTAACATAACTTACATTTATATCAGTAATTATCTTCACATTTCATTTATAAAAAACAACTTATCCTAAAGAAGACAAATGATTAAATAAAACAAAAACCTAAAACTACTCCTCCCCAGAAACAGAAACTGAGATTTTTTTATTGTTGTTGCCTACAAAGTGTTTTAAAACAATTTAAACAAATATTTAAATAACAAGGCATTCCACATGTAAATCCAAACTTCCAGCTTTTTTGAAAAATGGGAAGCTCTGGCAACCCAACACCCACATTCTCACAGCCACACCAGTATCCATATTCCCAATTAGACACAGTTGACTAATGAATATCGGCTGGCCCTTTAGGGTTACGTGTTACTCAGTTCTCACCTGACTGCTCACTTTTACCCTACCTGCCTACACCTTGCATGGTGAGAACTGTCAAGCTTCTAACTTTTCCCAGTATTCCTTCCCCATCATTTTTATGTTCCTCATCTCCTTTCTATGTTTTTGTTTCTGCTCAGCAGCAGCCATTACAGAAAAGGAAAAAAAAATGAGTATCACAATTGTTCAGTAGACAAACATTAGTACCGTACTGCCACGTATTTATGAACTAAAAACATTCTGGATTATTCCACTCAAGTCCATGAATTCTCTAGGAATTGTGTCTAGAAAACAATTGGAAAGATAGCTTGACTGGGAGTTAAGATTAAGTTCTCAGGCCCAGACATATCTTAAATTTACTTGAGACTCTGGGCACATGTAGGCCATGTGACCTCTCCAAGTATCCATTGCACATTTTCTAAAATAAAGCAGGGTTTGAGGGGGAGACAGGAAATTAAACTATATCAGTGTTCTGAAGATCCATATGGTCACACATCTGTGCCTTTGGAGCTGAGGTTGGGAACCAAGGGCCTACAGGCAGAGTTGCCAATGCTATGCCCACTTCAGTGTGGGCAGGCCTGCTCCCTGCCTTGACATGATCTACCAGTCCCTGCTTGGTCTCTTCTCCTGTCTAACTGAGTGGCCACACTTCAAGTCATTGTCTCCATTCTCTGCTCTCTAGTTTTCTTCCCACTTCCACCAGTGCTTTGGCTTGCTCCAAGCCATTGTGCATATCTGATTAGATCATTTCTCTACTTGAAATATTTTTTAAAATTCCCCACTCTGAAGATCAAATTCAGTCTCCTTGCCCTGCAGGGCCTCTGGTCCTTTCAGGGTCTGGTGTCTGCTTACTTCTCCAGCTTCAGCATATACCACTTTCCCTCCCATGTTTTAACTCTATTCCATGCTGCTCTTATTTCCATTTTACAAATAGGACAAACCCCTTCAACCTTGGGGCCTTCCATTTTACTAGTCCCTCTGCCTGGAGCTCTCTTTATGCCTTCTCCACTTAGTCAACAACTACTCATCCTTGACAGGGCAGCACTAAGACCAAGAGAAAGCTGTAATGTAAATGGTTTGGACTATGATAAATGTATTTCCTTATATAACAAGCCATCTGCAGATGGAGTTCCAGAGTTAATTTTGGTGTTAGGTAATCTCATCCAGTTCATAGGTATTCCCTGTCTGCGGTCCCTTTATGTTCACTAGATAGCTATAGCACAAGCAGGTATTGCAGGAGGATGCTTGAATTCCACAGGAGGTGGTGGCACATTTCCCTGTGTACGTTTTTGTTAGGATGCAGAATATTTCCCAGAAGCACCTCCACAGATGCCTTAGCTCCAAATGACCATCATGGAACACATGTCCTTTTTCTAACTGAAAAGGAAGGAAGAAAAAGAAGTAGAAAGTCAGCCCTAACTATGTGTGGGTTCCACATCCGTGAATTCAATGAACAGATCAAAAATATTTGGAAAAAACCCTAAAACAACAAACAATGCAACAATATAAATGCAAATAAAAAATATAGTATAACAACTACTCACATGGCATTTACATTGTTTTAGGTATTTTAAGTAATCTAGAGATTACAAAGTGTAAGACAGGATGTACTTAGGTTATATGCAAATATTACACCACTTTATATCATAGACTTGAGCATCTGTGAATTTTGGTATCCTCGAGGGGCCTGGACCCAATCTGTCCCACAGATATTGAGGAACAACTCTTCAGCATCTAGAATGAGAGGCAGAGTCTACTACAAAGTTAAGAAAAACAAATAGAAAACCTACATATTCAGGCAAGATCAGGCTTTCCTGGTTGGAGTATTCCAGTCTCCTATTCTTTCAGAATACTTACAACATTGGTAATCTATAATTATTTTGGTTATGGCTTTGGTCAGCATTGGTTTCCTCTACAACATTACAAGTTTCTTAAAAACAGACACTGAGTCTTAATTACAGCTGTCTATCTTCTCTTCTTTGATGCTGCAGTAACTCCAATTCCAGAGGTCTCAAGCTGTTCCCAAACTAAAACATGTCCAAATAACAGTTTATACATCTACACTGCAAAAGTCTTAAGTAGATTCACTATACCACAGATAGACAGTATAAGTAAATGCTTGCTAAAAGTAAGGCCAACTCTGGAGTCAGAGTAGTGGGTTCATGGGCATAGCTGTTAACTTGCAATATGACGTTAGGCAACTACTTAACCTGGTAGAGGATCATTTTTCCCTGCTGAAAAATGGCGATAGTGATAACAACTTTATAAGGTTCTATTGATGAGTCAATGTGTGTGGGTAAATCTCGACAAAGAGCTTGGCAATACTTAAGTCAAATGATTACTATTATCAAGATCATTATAATAACTACTATTAATAATTATATTACAAGAAGATACTTGCTTCATTTTCTTCCTTACCAATATCCTAATCACAGGAACCTCCAGCAGAAAGAACACACAAAGGTGTCAGTAGCTCCCTCCTCTGACATTAGAGGGGTTAATTATGAGAACAAAGGGAACACATAAGGACTATCAGACCCTGGAGAAAATAGAATTCTTCATCAACCAGAGCTCAGAGGCAGAGGTCACCATCTAAAGGTTTTTGTGCTGCTGTACAATTCAACCTAATTCTGTTTAGATATTAGACTTCCCCAGGGCAAACAACGAAACTCTTTAGCACCTTCCAAGTGAAAATTTGGTAAGCCTATTGAAAAAAAAAAAAAACAGCTAGCTTTCTTCCCAGCACATTTATCATCATTGTTATCCTTGCCCTAAACACCTTTGAAATTCAATACGCTAGAACCCATGGTATTGCTTTAAAAAAAAAAAAAAAAACAATGTTCTGAGAAAAATATAAATATCTGGAGAGAGCAGGTGCACATGGTCACTTGGGGGGAAGAAGAGGATGCATTATGGCTTCAAAATTGCTGTCACACCTCTCAGAATCACATTTTCACCTGCCACTGAGCTTGCTTTCACTGTGCTTTGTGGTCTCTGTCTCCCCTACTGTGACTTGAGCCGCCCCTATAAAAGTCATCTTCACCACTTTGAAAAGTGCTGCCGGCCTGGGCAAACATAAGCTAGAATAACTGAGTAAACAAAGCCAGGTGCAACTTGAATGCAGGTTTAAAAAAAGAACATCTTTCAAGGGAAAAAATTGAAGGTTTGGTTTTTATAACAGGCTGCTTAACAGGAATAAATACTTGATTTAAAATGGGCACTGTGGAAAGAACCAGAGAGGGAATGCATATGTGTTTTGTATTACTGAATGTCTTATTCCTTAAAAAAAAAATGCCTGAAGAAATTAATATTCCAGGTTTGGTGGTTCTTCCACAAACACTGAGTGAATACTTGTCATTTATGGTGGCAATGGCATGGATAGTTAGAGTTCGAGCCTGAATGATTTGACAAGTTAAATTATCAATTGACTGTGTCTATATACAAATAAAGAACTTATAAAGGAGAAGGATATATAGCTGGTTAAGTGTAGAGACAACACTTAATTAAATAAAAACTGAAAAAAAATCACTATGAATAGAGAGACTTCATATAAAATATTGAGAGTCTGGGTGATTGAAATAGTTGTCATCCATATCAGAAGAGTTGAACACATGTACTAGCAGAGAAAAATCTAAACATCTACATGAATATATTCCCTACACCACCTACATGCCACCTGATGTGGGCTCAAATGTAGAAGGGTTCTCTATGTTTCTTTATTCACATCCAGAGTTTTGTTTAACTTGTTCAGTAGTAGCTAAAATGGAGAATGTCTTTTTGTGGTGTTGGTTATCAGTACTGGCTTAAACTCAGAACTAGATTCGTTAAATTCCAATTAATCTAAACCTCAAAGCAGGTGACATTATCAGTCACTGAACTTGACATTTATACAAAATAAAAAAAAAAATTGAGCCTGGAGTAGTGGCTCACGCCTGTAATCCCAGCACTTTGGAAGGCCGAGGCAGGCAGATTATTTGAGGTCAGGAGTTCGAGACCAGCCTGACCAACATGGTGAAATCCTGTCTCTACTAAAAACACAAAACAGTTAGCTGGGCTTGGTGGCGGGCACCTGTAATCTCAGCTACTTGGGACGCTGAAGCAGGAGAATCGCTTGCACTGGAGAGGCGGAGGTTGCAGTAGGCTGAGATCACGCCACTGTACTCCAGCCTGGGTGACAGAGTAAAACTCCGTCTAAAAAATAAATAAATAAATAATAATAACAATTTCATGGATACATCTTCCAATCAGAGTCCAAAATAACATTTAGGGGCAAAACTGAATGTCAACCAGATAATGTTTACCTCCCCCAGAACAAAACTTGTCACTGGGTGTGTTTCAAAGGAATATTCAAACCACATGTATGGAAGTTTGAGAAGAAAATATATAAAGGAGAGCAAAAGCCTATACTTAAAAAACAAGCAGCAGTAACAAGATTAAAAGAACTACCATTATGGCCAGGTGTGGTGGCTCATGCCTGTAATCCTAGCACTCTGGGAGGCCGAGGTGGGTGGATTACTTGAGCTCAGGAGTTCAAGACCAGCCTGGGCAACATTGGGAAACCCTATCTCTACTGAAAATACAAAAAATTAGCCAGGCATGGTGGTGTGTGCCTGTGGTCCTAGCTACTTAAGAGGTTGAGATGGGAGGATTGCTTCAACCTGGAGGCTGAGGTTGCAGTGAGCCAAGATGGTGCCACTGCAATGCGGCCTAGCCTGGGTAGAAGAGCAAGACTGTATCTCAAAAAAAACAAAAATAAATAAATTGCTATTAGAGTTGTTTTCTATCCCGGAAATTTTGTTAATTAAATAGCATAAACAAAATCTTCAGTGGATCATTTTCTGAGAAAAAAAAGAGCAAACCAGCAAAAACCTTTACTCTCTGTACTATGAATATCATTTTACCCCAAACTGCCCATGCAGGCAATGATAAATGAGGGAGGGAGAGGCGGGGGAGATGCGGGGAGAGGTGGGGAGAAGGGGGGACGGGGGGAGATAATAATTAAGATATAGAGAAGTTAGATTGAGGCTCCTCACATGTATTTGATAAAAGTTCTAAAGGGCCCAAGAAAAAGAGAAGATGGAAAAAGCAATATTTGTATGAAAATGGCTGAAATTTTTCCAGAAAGCAAGAAAGTCATAGATTTCAGATTAAAAGAACTGCTAGTGTCAAACAGGACAAATAAAATAAGTCCACATATGACTACATCATAATCACCCTCCAGAAGGACAAAGATAAAAACAAACAACAACAAATCCTCATAATTTACCAGGGATCAAAAGCCTATTATTTTCAAAAGAATGCCAATTAAATTGAAAGCAGACTTTTCATCAGCAACAATAAGATGCCAGCTCCAAGCAGAACTGAGGAAAAATAGTCAAGCAAGATGTGTCTCCCAATCAAACCAAAATAACCATTAAAGGAAGAAAAATGAATGTAAAAGAAAGAGATGCAATTTACAAAAGTACAGTGAACACAAACCTTGATTTTAAATATTCGTAAATGTTTAGGTGACTAAAAACAAGGGTATGTCTATTTTAATTAAACTTTTGTTTTGAAATAATTTAGGTTACCATTCACTTGCAAGAAAGAGAATAAATTGATTCCAGAGAGACGCTTTTGTTTGTAGTAAAATACAGAGGGCTGACTGATAAATGGGAAGGGCATAGGGATTTGGGGGGAAAAAAATCAGTATTTTGCAGCCATCGTAACACAGACTGATTCATGCAAGAATCATTAAAAGGGAAAATTATAACAGGAATCAGGATAGTATGATATTTATACTAAAGAGCCTGTCTTTATTACTTGGTGTTTGACTAATGATATATTTTAAGCCTCACCCCTCTCTCTCCCCATTTTGCCCCATATCTGGGCAAGCTGATAAGAAAGCCCGGGTGCTCCCTTTAGCACTGGCAGGAGTCTGAAATCAAACAAGTCCCTGTCCGCCCCCTAACCATAATAAAATGCCCATGGCGGTCTCTTTTTCTCACTTCTTTGCAATCCATTTTTGGACTAGTTTGGGAAGTCTTTCCTGCTTTCCCCCGAAAAAGTCTCTAATTATGTCAGTAGAATGTATTTTTTTTAACCTCATGATGTGTGGCATCATGAATCTCAACATCCAAATGAACTTTTCGGTTGGATTCCATCCTGTTTATTCAGGGTAGCCCCAACAGTCTTAAAGTATCTGGTTCTAAGGGAAAACATAATTATACAGTGGAGAAATGAATCAAACCTTGATTAAGTGATGAAAATTGATGACACTAAAATGTAGCTCCCAGGTACATCCTGAAAATGGCATGCATCTTTGTAGTTTTCCAACTGACAATGGGGAATTTAAAACCAATTCTGAAGAAACAAGAGATAAATCCAAAATGAGAAAAATCCCATCAAAAAAGGGAAAGGGGTACAGATTTAATTCTTCAAAAAGTCAGTGTCATAAAAATCAAAGGCTATATAAATGTGCCAAATTAAAGGAGACATGACAATGAAATGACAAACCTTACCTTAGATTGGATTTTGCACGAAATGGGGAAGAAAATGCTATAAGGACATTGGCTCAACTGACAAAAATGAAATATAGACACTATATGAAAATTCCACAGCAGTGTCATATTTACTAAAGTTGATAACTGCTCTGTTATTTAAGAGAATATCCCTATTCGCAGGAAATACATACTTAAGTATTTGCCTGTAAAGGGTCGTGATATAAGTAATATATCCTTAAGTGGTTTAGAGAAAAATTGTGTATATATATTCACATACATAGAGCAAACACACAAATGATAAAACCAATGTAGTAAAATATTAACAATCAATGGATCTAGGTAAAGGTTACACAGATACTCTTACTACTTTTATCCTTAAAAATTTTTCTGAAGTTTTAATTTTGAAATAAAAAGTTAAAGACTTGCGTGTTCTTGAACATGCATAATCTTAAAAAACAGCAACAGCATTAGTGACAGATTTTTAATCTACATATATCTCAATAAGTTAATACTTCAGATACTTTTAAACAGATTTTTTTAAATTGATGGCATACATATTCCTGCATCAAGTAATAAATATGTATTTTCAAAACTCATGAAACATACACAGAGTTTGTCTAGATTCAGTTTATGTGACAAAGGATCATTGATGACAATATATTTAGATTAGAAATAAACAGGAGAAGAATCTTATAATGCTTTGGAAGATGAAAAACATTTTTGTAATACAAAGAACATCAAATTGGAAATGATATTCTTAGAAGTGAATAACAATAAAAATACCATGTATCATAACTAGTAGGAATCAGCTAAAATGCTACTGAGAGGTAGAATTATAGCCACACTGAAATTTTTAAAGAAAGGTTTAAAATAAGATAAACATTCCTCTTCAAAAGGTGAAATAGAACACAGTAAGTCAAATAAAAGGTGGAGGAATAAACAAAGAACAGAAATTAATCTAACAGAAAACATGATATGATAGTAAAAGTAAAAAAAAAACCAAAAGCAAAAGTAATATCATCAGGAAGTAGACAAAGCTTTAGCTAGGCTTAATAGGGAAAATAATACTGGGAAAGAAGAAAAGTGACAACTGGAGATAGGACAGAGTTTGTATCTGTTGACTAAATAACAAAGATAAGTTTAAAAACATTAGCCAATTTTCTGGAAAAATAATCAAAATCACCCCAAACAGTAGAAAATTAGAAGTTTTTAACTTGAAAAAATCAGTAATAAAAAATATATTGCACCCAACTTCACCTCAGTAAAGTTTTAAAGATCCACCCTAAATGATACCAACCAGCAAGAAACAGGTATCTCTTATCTATTAGATTTGGAAAATAGGAAAGGAGTAACCTCTAACAATTATGAGACTGGTTTGACATCAAGCCAGAGAAAGAAGATTTTAGAAAGAACAATTACATCATTTCACACGATTACATGCATCCAAAAGATTTTTGGGGAAAAAAACATCTAATTATTCACAAGCACTCTGATTCAGTATAAATCTTTCTAATTGTTGAGATACTGGTGTCTCCTACTACGCAGTTAGCCTGTCAAGAAAAAGCACTGTGAATTATTTACTTGGAACCATAGCAGAAAAGATTTTAAATAGGCATGACCATAGAATCAACTATAGAGGATTTTTTGTGGTTATTTTTTCATTTAGATTTTCAAATTTTACCTCCCAATAAATTGATTAGGTAGGCCTATAAAGGGCATAGTCATTCTTATTTAAGAAAACAGAAAAACAAAATTCTACAAGTGACTCCACTGTACAGGTCTAATTAATAACTACTTTACTTGAACATATTAGAGGATCCACATGTAAGAGACTTTCAGTAAGTGCTTGTTAAATAGTATTTGATTTGTAATATCCCTATTGTGTCTTTGATTTTTCTCCTGATTTCTTATAGCTTTCTCAGAATGGGGTCTTTCTCATCTAGGAAGTTTTAGTCCCCTTTAGCCCAAATCTGCCTTTGCTTATACTATATACTGAGCTCTTGGGGCTCACTCTTTGTTTGCCTGCTGTGTCCAAACTCATAAACAGTGTCAAATCCACTGGATTCCTGGAACAAACATGACACTGGAAAAGCCAAAATGTAGAGAAGATAGAAGCCCTCAGCACAAAGAATCAATACTCAATGACTACATGGCTCAGGCATGAGCAATGAGATGGTTAAAGTTGACATATTCCTGATACGATCTGCAGTCTCAGTGACTGTGGTATTAAAAGGTCTTCATGGACAGCCTCCTGGGATTAAAGATTTTAGCATTAGACTGTTCCCACAAGGTGGCAAAATAACCTGGAGAAATAAAAAAGCAGCAGTTTATTAACCTGTCGTTTTGCTTATACAATATATTTGATTAGACTTAAAAGCAAATTAACTATCACAGCTAAGCAAATGACTGGGATAAAGGGCTATCTGCATGCAGAGGTTGAGAACCTGTGTCTTTTCAGGACAGGACTTTACTCAGAAGGGTCCTGGGGAGGCGGAGAGGAGCACTTGAGGAGCACTCATGCACACCTTCCTGGAGACTTGAGAAAACATTCTGCATGAAGGAAGTATGAGAAACAGATATAGGAAATTATAGAGGAGTCACAGATAGATTTTTCTCAGAGGGTGGAACAGTTGGGGAAATTTGAATTAATTTTTAAATTCACAATTAGTATGACCTCATCTGTTCTCACAGGCCAATTATCAAGCAAATTAAGTTTAGATAACAAGTCCTTTAGTAATGAAAGATTTATTTTGGAAATGAGATATTACTTGGGAAAAATTAGAATTATATACAGGAAAATAGAGATATATTTATTTAAATATTTCACCAAAGACTGACTTTGATAGGCAATGCCATTGTGCAAGAGACACCACTGGAAGAACAAACTCACCAATAACTATTGCATAGAGTATAAACATGGTCTAACTCAACAGTGTCTATTCCAGGAACATAAGACAATTATTGGGGGAAATTCAGGTGTGCTCTAATGCTAGGCCAGAAGCATGTTTCTCTTAAGTATTATCTTTGAGTCACTTTGAAAGTGATTTCCTAGTTAGAATAGGTGACATTTTTCTGTCTTTCTCCAAAGTTTATTTCCTTTATGGAGGAATCAATGCTCTTTGTTTCTGATCTTTCTGCTTTTAAGCATTATATTACAAACATATTCATATCACAGTCCACAGGCAATTGATTATACACACAGAAGTGCAAATTATTCAAACCAAGCAACAGTTATTAGCTGGTGACCTTCAGTAGGGTCACACACGCTCCCCAGTATCCAGCTGTGTAAGTAGTCAATACTAAATGTATTCTAGAGTTGCTTACCACTGATTTGGTAAGAACAGATGTATGCACATGAGGTGATTGGTAAACAAGCCAAAATGGTTTATAATTAAATTTTGTATTGTGTGACTCAGTCTATTAGTGCATTGGATCAGAGAAGGGAGAGATCAATGTGATTTGAGTCACTAAAAGTTTTGGAGGAGCCTACATTTGTGTTGACACTTGAAAAAAAATGGAGATAAGCAAGAAATTAAGATTTAAAAATTCTTTTTGGCCACCTGATATCTAAATTTCTTCTGGTGTTTTAGAAATTCCCTATCATGTAAGGCAGAGCTGGGCTACCAATACACAGGCTGAAAATGTCACGTGCTTTTTTCTCCCATCAGCTCTTCGAGTTTAAACATGGCCACACCACCTGGGTTTGCCAAATCAGATGCTTCTAACCCAAACTGCCAACCAGAAGCTGGGATGTTGAAGAAAGCAGGGATCATTTGCCAAATGGTCAGCTACAGAGTATCTTCACTAGACTAGTTTGAGGCATAATTCTGGGCATTGTACCTGGCTTCATGGCTTCAAAACGCCTTTCTGGTTCTCTTGAATATTCTCATATGCTACCATATATTCTTTTAGTAAGTGTGATTTTCCTCTTAAACTTGCCAGAGGTAACTTCTATTACTTTCTACTAACAACCTTGAAAGTAGTAGAAATGCTGTACATACAGAGACACTGCAGAGAAGACGCAGATGAGAGAATTAACACATGGTATTGATATAGGCATTAAAAAGAAATTATTTAGGTAGATAATGAGGGTAAGGAAGCCCTTGTTAAGGTTGCCCTTTTAATAAAAGCAGCCCTGAAATCATTTTCCTTCCTAACAAAGAGCAGCCTGTAAAAATCGAGCTGCAGACATAGACAAGCAAGCTGGAAGCTTGCATGAGTGAATGCCAGCAGCTGTGCCAATAGGAAAAGGCTACCTGGGGCTAGGCATGTTCAACATGGAAGCTCCATCTTCCCTTTTCCTCACCAACCACATATACAGTAAGGAGCAGACAACATGGAACTGGCCAAGTGGAAAACCCATTTGCATAATAAAAAGATTAGGATGGGGTGGCCAGCTTCCTCAAGCACTATGTAAACATCACACCCAGTCCAATCAATCTGTGGGCCATATGTAAATCAGGCACCACCTCCTCAAGCCAGTCTGTAAAATCCAGTGCAGTTCTCTGTAGGCCGGAAATCTCACTCAGGCACCTCTCTCTCTCTTGTCTTTCTCTCCTCTCTCTCTCACACAGGAGTTTTTCTCTCTTCTCCTTCTTTTGCCCACTAAACCTCAGCTCCTAAACCCACTTCTTTTGTGTCCATGTACTCAATTTCGTTGGTGTGAGATGACGAAACTCAGGTATTTACCCCAGACAAACGAGGCCGCTTCAGTATGAGTTTCAGGAGGCACCTAACCTGGATAAAAGAATAACAGAGAAGGAAAATCTTTTCCCCCCCCTCAAACCTAGCTAAGATGTCATTTGGGCTTGACCAAATTAACCACTGAATACCAGAAACTTAAAAAGATAGGTGGCCTATTTGTCCAGACAAAGAACAATGGTACAGTAGCCACAGTTCTTCTCCCAACCTCATCCCAATACATGATAGTCTCACGATCTGGTCATTTTTCCTAGTTGGACAGGATAGTGGGGGATGTAATATAAATGATGTCTTCCACTTGGACACTAATCTCTCTTTTCTGGGTCCAATCAGACAACTGTCTGGAGAGAAGCTAAGGTCATAAGTCTAAAAATATGCTACATTGACAATCTACAACAAATTTCTGAGGAACTTGTTTAGAAGTGCAGATTCCCTGGCATATTAGTCTGTTCTCATACAGCCATGAGGAAATACTAGAGACTGTACCAAGGTTGTACCTTGACCTCTCTTAGCCATGGCTGGAGCTGAAGAAGCTGGGACACAAGACACTAGGTCATAAGGCTGCATAACCCATTGTCTTGGTGATTAACATTTGGCTCCTCTTTATTTATGTAAATTTCTTGAATTTCTCCCCAGAAAATGGGTTTCTCTTGTCTGTCATATCCATCAAGCTGCAAATTTTCTGAACTTCTATGCTCTGCTTCCTTTTGAATGCTTTGTTGCTTAGAAATTTCTTCCACCAGATGCACTAAATTATCTCTCTCAAGTTCAAACTTCCAGAGATCTCTAGGGCAGGGGCAAAATGCCACCAGTCTCTTTGCTAAAGCATACCAAGAGTGACTTTTACTTCAGTTCCCAACAAGTTCCTAATCTCTGAGACCACATCAGCCAGGAGTTCATTGTCAATATCACTATCAGCATTTTGGTCAAAGCCATTCAACAAGCCTCTAGGAAGTTCCAAGCTTTCCCACATCTTCCTGTCTTCTGAGCTCTCCAAGACTCTAAGAAGTTCCAAATTTCTCCACATTTTCCTGTCTTTTTCTGAGTCCTCTAAACTGTTCCAACCTATGCCTGTTACTCAGTTCCAAAGTCGCTCCCACATTCTAAAGTATCTTATAGCAATGACCCACTACCTTGGTACCAATGTACTGTGTTAGTCCGTTCTCATACTGCTATGAAGAAATACCCGAGACTGGGTAATTTATAATGGAAAGAGGTTTAATTGACTCACAGTTCCACATGGCTGGGGAGGATTCAGGAAATGTACAATCATGACGGAAGACACCTCTTCACAGGGTGGCAGGAGAGAGAAGTGCAAGCAGGGGAAATGCCAGACATTTATAAAACCTTATGATAAACTTATAAATCAGATCTCGTGAGACTCACTCATTATCACAAGAACAGCATGTGGGAACCATCCTCATGTTCAATTACCTCCACCTGGCCCCACCTTTGACATGTGGGATTATGGAGAATACAATTCAAAGTGATATTTGGGTGGGGACACAGAGCCAAACTACATCACCTGGCCAGTCCTAAGCTTGACTCAATGGATAGCTGTGGAAAGCCCTGGAACTGGCATTTTAACAAATCTCCTGGGCTATTCTTGGAAACACTAAGTTTACAGCACCACTTACTCAAGGGATCAAATTTGGTTTTAGTACACAACTAAAAAGTTATATTTCTTCCAGCAGGGGCTCAATCTTATAGTGTAGAGTTTCTCCCCAAACTCCATCAAATAGCATTAAATAGCAGCAGGTTCTGCTTCTCTCTGGTTTGTCTATTGATAACTGCCTCAGAATTGAGACTTCATTCTAGGAATCTCCTCATAGAGGTTAGATCTATTTCCTCTCCTCTTTCATTTTAGTTAGGGATGCTGCCAAAATTAATGTAGATGTAGGAACAAATAATCTCAAGGCAAAGCCTTATTGAACAGCACGAAAGATCTCTAAAATCTGGCTGGGTGTGGTGGCTCACACCTGTCATCCCAGCACTTTAGGAGGCCAAGGTGGGCAGATCCCCTGAGCTCAGGAGTTTGGGACCAGCCTGGGCAACAGAGCAAAACCCCATTTCTACAAAAATAAAAAATTAGCCAGGTGTGGTGGTGCATGCCTGTGGTCTCAGCTACTCAGGAGGCTGAGGTGAGAGGATCATTTGAGCCCAGGAGGTCAAGGCTGCAGTGAGTTAAGAGCATGCCACTGCACTGCAGCCTGAGCAACACAGCGAGACTCTGTCCCATACACACACACACACACACACACACACACACACACACACACAACTCTAAATTCTATCCACAGTCATTAAAGAAGACTAATTTATCACAACTTTTATGTTTACCATTTCCAAATTAGATAAACACATCATCTTTTAAAAGTTCCCTATTTATGTGGATCAGAAGTTGTAAGCGGGAAATGAATCTGAGTAGATCAAAAAGAACTGGATGTATGGAAAAACTTAAACTTAAGATCATAGGCATTGGAAGTTTTTGTGTGTTGAACCAGTATAGTGAGAATGAGGCTATTGCCTTTCAATCGCAAATTTTGTAGTCATGGTGATGTGAAAACTCAAGGGTCTTATGTTTACTTTCTAGAATAGAAGAAAGTACTGGTTTCCTGTGGCTGGTTTAACAAATTACCACACAGTGGATGACTGAAAACAACAGAAATCTATTCTTTTATGGTTTTAGAGGCCAGAGGTCTGAAACCTACACACCAGCAGGGCCATATTCCCTTTAGAGTCTGTAAAGGAGAATCCATTATTTGCCTCTTCCAGCTTCCAGTGGTTGTCAGCATTCTTTGACACATGGCCACATCACTACAATCCCTGCCTCCATGAAGGGGCACCATTACCTCCTCCTTTTCCACCAAATCTCTCTGTCACTTTGATAATAAGCTTGTGATTGTATTTATGTTTATCCAGATGATATAGTATAAGATCCTTCTCTCAAAATCCTTAACTAAATCATTGGCATATAAGATAACATTTATTCTTATCATATGAAGTAATTTTCACAGTGTAATGGACTAAATGTTTGTGTACTCCCAAAACCCCAAGTAGTATTAGGAGGAAGGACTTTTAGGATGTGTTTAGGTTGATTATAGACTTCACAAGTGGGATTAGTGTTCTTATGAGAGAGATCCCAGAGAGCTAGCCTCTTCCTTCCATCATGTGGAAACCCAATGAGAACATATCATATATGAACCAGAAATCAGGGCCTCACCAGATGCCAAATCTGCTGGAGCCTTGATCTTGGTCTTCTCAGCCTCCAGAACAATGAGAAGTAAATTTCCATTGTCTATAAGTTACCCAGTTTATAGTATTTTGTTATAGCAGCCTGAACTGACTAATATACATAGGTTCCAGGGATTAGGACATGGACATATGTTTTGGGAGAGGCCACAATTTAACCCACCACCAGGATCTTAACTTGGCTTTAGAGGAAAGCTACATCCTTTAAACTAATGCAAAATTGTCTGTGTATGTATTTTTCTGGGGAGAGGATTACTAGCTTCTACCCAATTCCCAAAATGTCCCTGACTCCAAAAAAGGTTTTAAATCACTGCTTCAGTAAAAGGAAGTTGGAAGGAGAATACACTTTTAAAGTTGGAAGGTGCTTGGAGGATTTAATCCAGTTTCCTCAATCGCCAACATGAGATTTATTCAGAGTTTTACTTGTATTTCTCTCTTCCTTTTCTGCTTCCTTTTCTCTGTAAGCTCCCGGGCTTGTGTGAAATGCACTATCAGCTCCTAAACTGACTAAACTGATGAAAGGGACTCTGTCTTCCCTGAAGTCACTACTTATCTCTGTGCCTCAGATGCTGTCATCTTCTAAAGAAGGAAAACAGCACTTAAAAAATTATTTCTGGACATCTTATCAGACTAAGAGGTCATCATGAAATGATATCTGTCTCTCAGCCCACTGTGACTGTCTCATGACTTTTACTTAAATTATCACTCATCCAAATTTCCTGAAATCCCTTCCACTCCATCTAACTATCACTCAGAAGAAAAACATTTATTTGGTCCAAAGAAACTAGCATGGGATTACTCTCAACAAATAGCAACTACAAAACTCTTCTAATCTCTCTTAAGGGTACTTCCTAGACTATATAACAGCTCTAGGGAATGAGAAGAGAAGGTAAACCTATAGGCAAAACAGATAATAACAGTGCTCCATAAACTCATAGGTTCAGGCAGTTCTCTTTTCATTCCTTCCTCATTTCAGGGGCTCCTCTTCTACCCTCAAGACTTTTCCTATTTCCACCTTAAATCCATTTATCATTTCTGAAGCCATAGTTCTAATTGTAAAACTAATAATTTGCCCTATGTGCTCAACTCTTATTTTTTATAAGATATCTTACTTTTACTTATATTTAAGCCCTGGTATAAAGTTTAGTGTGCTTTTCCCACCTAATACCTATTTAAAATATGTAACTATTAAAGTTTGGAAAATGTTCATGAGTCCTGTTAACTCATGTACAATACCAGTAGTATAGATTTCACCTTTGGGGAACATTGTCTTCATTCATTCATTTATTTATTTATTCAGCATGTGCCTGTTATAGGTATAACTAAAGTATTTCACATTCCAATGGCATGGCTCTTTACATATCCCAAAGGAATAAAAAGATTTAACATAATTTGAAGGGAATGCACCAATCAAGCAAAAGAAGAGAATGAACTTTGAGAGTCATTTGAAGCACGTCTGCTATCATGTAGATATGATTATTCCATCTCTTGGAAAAACGGTTATGGAAAAAGAAAAGTTTCCAGGAAACCAGTTACCAATGACTCATGAATTCCTTTTCAGGTTGTCAGCTTTCTCATTTAATGATGCCCTACCTAGTGGTCGATTTTATAATTCAGTCAGACTCTCTGTGAACAGGCAACCTCAGAAAGTACAAACCCCTAGCCCGATCATGCATTTGCAAAGAAGAAGGTTGTGCCAGGACAACTGGAACACACATCTTATTGAAGGAACTGGAGGTGAGGAATAAAGAGGGGTTTTTCTTCCACACAAGGATTGAGAATTGAAGCAGGACACCAGGCAGATGAGAACCCTTGAGTTCTTACCAAAAACAAGACGAGGAATGGAGGAGAACACAGTAAGCTATCAATAACCTCAAAAGTATAGACATCAAACACCCCGAAAATAGAGTCCAGAGCTGTTTCATAACTGGCTTTAATGTTGCTGCCCTTGGACCCTTTCCTGTCTGCCCTTCTGGACTCAGTTTCTTCATCTATATAATTGAGAAATCTAAAATAAGTGAGTCTTGATATGTCATGATAATCAGTAGTGCAGGCTCTAGGGTCAAATACACCTGGGTACATATATTGGCTTTATTACTTTCTAATTATGTGATCTGGAACAAGTAATTTTGAGCTCTGAGCCTCAGTCTCCTCAAGTATATCATGTATAATTGGGAGATTAAAATCAAGCAATGCATGAACACATGGCTCAGATCCTGCTGCACATCAAGTGCTCTGACAGTGCAATCAATAATACCACCACTCTACTGACTGACCCAAATCAGGAATCAAACAGACCTGAATAACCGAGAGACTGTAGGTGACACGGACCAATCAGAAATGGATATGGAATGCATACTTGCTAGACAAATCCTAACTTAGAGTTGTAACTAATAGTAGACTCAGGAAACAAGTTTCTCATGAACTGAATGCAAAACTCATCCAGGAGTGTCCCTTAGAATCACCAGAGGAGCTTTTAATAACATAGGTCCTTGGGCCATGCTATAGAAGGAAAGGAGAACTTGTGCAGTGTAGGTCAATGACTCCATTTAGAGCTATTTTTATTTTTGGGCCATTTAAGAAGCTAGAGATAAACATAGAGTATTACAAAAATACTCCTGTACCTACCATCTAGAGCTGAAACAGTTTCTGTGTTTATTTTTAGGATTCATGTTTTGTAAAAGAAATTAAAATCTCATAGATAAAGTCTCATATGCCCTCATCTTTATCTCTTTGCCTTGTTTGTTCAATAGGCCATTTTGAAGAGCACTGGAAGTGGGGTCCCCTGAAGGCAGGTATTTTCCACAATCACCTTAGGTTTCCCAATTATACCCCTCCCTCATTCCTCAACACAAAGCTGTGTACACCACAGCCAAAAATCACCACTCTACCTTCAACTATTGGAAACTTGAAAGAACAAAGTCTTTAGCGGTGGCAGACTCTCTCTCTCTACCTGCTAATTCACTATAAGAGTCCACACGTTTCAACTCGGTTTTCTCTCCCAGTCCTGCATGCTGGGAAGCCAATTCCTAGCAATGAACTCATCACAGCTGAGTGAGTCCACAGAGCACTGCTCTCCTACAAAGGGTCTGAAGCATTCAGATTTGCTTTTTAGTAGTTCAACTGAACATCTCCCACACTCTAACACAATCCCTCCCCAGAGAACCCCTGACAAAGATGTAAAATCGGAAGAACACATCAATGAGTTGGACCAGTGACACACCAGAAAGTCAGTAATAGAACAAATCTCCTTTCTGTCAGTCTGCAGACTTAATTACAGCACCACCATTGCTCATTATCCATCCTCCTTTGCAGTCTGTGTAAGCAGAAAGATCGCAGAACACTTAACAAATGCAGGGGTTACAGGGCTAGGAGAGATATACCCTTGGGACTCTATGAAGTCAGTTTTAAGCAGTGGTGAACATAAATCCAGCTTGTAGAGTTATTTGGATGAAAGACACTGTATAAATGCAGCTCGTTACCATAATCATTAAGCAACTGTTCAGGATGAGCAAAGCTCTGTCTCTGCACCACCTCCTCCTTCCTTTAGGAAGAAACATGACTGGATTGGTCCTTGTCCATCAGTAGTGGAAAATGCAGACCAAGAGGCAATTTAGACACATTATTTTGAGCCCAGGTTCATTAATAGGCAAAACGTCCTGTTCTACATTTGTGAACACTTTGAAATTCTCTTGGTTCTGAATCAAGTACTAGTTCCCCTTAGCAAATGACATATTATTCTCATCTACCCATCAGAAAATACTTACCTAGTCTTGGTACAGAGGGTGGAAGCATGTTGCGGGCACAGGGAGAGAAGCAAGGAAGTATTTGGGCCCCTGGAGAAGACTGGTTAGATCAGCAGAGCCCATCGGCATCTCCAATCAAGTGGATCCTCTGAAATGCTTGTGGGGAGTGGCTGGCTAAAGCAGGATAGGTCACGCCAGGTAATCAAGGAAATTTCCAACACCTCTAGTAAGGATGGCATGGGCACACTTTGACTGCCACATGCTGAAGCCTGTCAGTCTCAGAGAAATGAGGGGCAGGGCAATATGTCTCACACTAGAATGCATCAGAACACATGGAGGATTTATAAAACAGATTTCTGGCCTAGAGACTGATTCAATTGGCCTGGCGCTGGATCTCAGAATTTGCTTTTCTTACAAGATTACAGGTGATACTGCTGCTAGTCCAGGGAAGACATGGTAAGGGTAGGGTAAGAGGCCAGAGCTGAAAAGGGAAGAAACATGATTTGAATTGTATCATAGGTGTACCTTGCATCACAGCTGTGGTTTGTACCTTAAATGCATCCACTGTCCCTATCTGGGTGTCAGCTGAGACATCTGAATTAGATTGATGCTTCTCAATGTGTGTTTCTTTGATCATCTGCAACTGAATCACTTAGCATGCTGGCAAAATGCAAATTCCTGGGCCCAAATCCAGATATCAGAGGCTCATGCCTAGGAATCTGTAGCTTAACCATCACCCCAGCTGATTCTTATAATCATTAAAGTCTGAGAACTGCTAAACTACATAATTTCCAGCGTTCCTATTATCTCAAAATTGCCATAAACCTTGAAGACAAAAATATATGTTATTTTCTGCTCTTGAAGTGACAATTGTTATCATGTCCATGTATAAGTAAACCTTGGGGATTAAACTCCAGACTATTTTGAAAGAATAAGCCCAATCCTGGCTGCACATTAAATTCACCCCTATTGCTTACAAAACAGAAAAAATGCATGAACTTTCAAGTTTAAACCCAAACTTTCTAAATCAGAGTGGAAGGGAAAGAGGTGAAAAAAATTCAAGAGGAAAAGCAATGGACTCTCACAATGTTTATGACCTGTATTAGGGTTCTCCAGAGAAAAAGAATAAGTCACTGATATATATCAATGGTATATATGTATATATGTATATATATACATACATACACACACGTGTGTGTGTGTGTGTCTGTGTGTAGGTCAGTCTTTGCTCTATTAAGGTCTGCATTTAGTGGTTGAGGCCCATCCACATTATGGAGAGCAATGTGCTTTACTCAAAACCCATAGATTCAAATGTTTATCTCATTCAAAAACACCCTTACGAAAATATCCAGAATAATATTTGACCAACTATCTAAGCCCCATGACCCAACCAAGCTGGTACATAAAATTAATCATCATATCAATCTCTAACTTACTCTGTAGTCTGCTTATTTCTTATATTTATAGTCTGTCATATCAATAGAAAGCAAGCTCCAATAGAAGGCAAGCTTCAATAGAAAGCAAGCTTCGATGGGACATGGCTTGTCTGTTTTTTTCACCAATGTATCTGAAGGGTCAGGAACAATGTCTGAGGCATTGTAGGCAGACAATAAATACCTTTGGATAAAGCTTTATCATCATGCTTATGAAAAATTCATCTTCAGACATATCTTTGAGCCTTAGGATTTTCCCAAACAGGGTAGATGCTTTTTATTAGATGGCACAGGATCTATGTTCTTTACAACCCAAGGATTAGCTATGGGGTCAGTTCCAGGTGTTATCTCTCTTCTAATGGAGTGGGTCAGAGGCATTTCCTCAAAAGGTGAAGGAGCATCTCAATTCTCCTGTTACCAACAAAGAGCTGGGAGCTAAGCATCCCAGGCCATAGATAATAGTGCTAATTGGAAATTATTTAGAGCTTTAATATTCCTTTTATATCTTGGCTCTCTGAGTTATGGGATTCCTATTGCCAAGATTCACAGTGACAGGCTGTGGCTCATTTGATTTCTTTCCCTCCTCCTTTCCCCATCTCACATTCGTGGTCCTGAACCTGCCAGTTATTTATGGAAAATTTTTAGGCAGGGTTCTCAGTGGTGAAGGAGAGTGCTTGATTCAAAGGAGCTTTGGATATGCATAACCTGTGCAGGAATATGTTTTAATAAATGATTGCCCAACCTTGTCAAAGAGAAATAAATAGAATGAAAATTGAGGTACCCTTTTGGAAACCAATGGTAACAACGTCAAGAAATTTAAAAGAGGCCTTATTCTTTGACCCAGTAATTTCTCTTTAGATAATCTATTCTAAATGTCTAGAAAGATTTATACTCAAAGATTTCCATCATAATATTCGTTCAATAGCAACCATTGGTAACATCTTAATTGCCCAACATAGGAGTTTGCTTAAATTGCAGTCACTAAATTAGAATAAAAATAGACATTCTAAATAATGTTTGCAAAGTTTACAATATGGAGATACACTCTTCATTATGTTCAGTGAAAACTTAGTACATAAAATTATTTGTAAAATTTGACTCAGTATATTCCTGAATAAAAAATGGTTTTTTTAAAAGACAGGATATTAAAAAAAATAATATGAATATTGCTTTTATTTGATGAAAGAAAGAATGAGTGATTTTTCTTCTCCTTTTAAATTTCCCAAGTTTTAAATGCAATGCATATATGTGACTTTCTGACCCCAATGCTGAGGAAGGGCACAGCTTTAGTTATTAATTTTTAGAGGACATGTTTTTTAAATCAATTTTTTACATCTCTTTTACCACTATCTAAAGCTAACATAGCCATGCCACATTTTTCCTCTCTTAGCTTCTGGGTGCTATCTTTTTACTAAGTAGCCCCTGAGTAGAGTGATAATGTAATTCATTGTCTAAATCTAGGTAGTTCTGAGAGGGAAGCAGGTGATCTTAGTAATTATGCAGACAGCAGGCACAAACTAGGACTGTCTTAGAAAAGCAAGGACTTGTAGCCAACTTCCCATTGAGAGTATTACTTAACTAGGTAATGATTGGGGTGGGGGTACCTTTTCCAAATATCTACCAGGTGCGGATTCAGGGCAGAGCCTACTGCCTAGCTGCTAGAACCTACAGCTGAGCTTGTTACTATCCTCAAGGGCAGCTACTGTTTCAGAAAGAATTTTTTTTTTTTTTTTAGTCTGGCTTTCTGCCTTGCTCTATGTTTATGGATCATGTGGATTTTCCTCAAAATCTCACAAGGTCATCTGTGTACTTGCAGAATTCTTATTCTATTTTATATAGGATTTTTAGTAGACATTCACACACCAACTTTATAGTAACACTGAATTGTTCGAAGCAGAGGTCACTTATTTGTTTTTAAAGCTCCTTGGGAATTTTTGCAAAATATGTTTTTCCAAGCTTCTATCTTTTATCTAGAGATTCAGTAGATGATGCATGGGCCACACATGAGATACAGCATTAGATTACATAGTCCGTGAAGCAGGAGTTATCACTAAATTCATAAATCATGGCATTTCATCTGGAACAAAATACACACACAATAAAAACTTATAAAATGAAAGAATAAGAGAATAAATAAATGAACAGCCATTTACAAAGTGCATCAATATTTCTTTGTGTCTACAGCAATGTTCTACATTCTTTCTAGTTCAAAAAATATGTAATTCAATTCTTAAGCCTAAAAACAGTTTAAATAATTCCATTAGATTATTACCTACTTATAGCCCATATTAAAGAAATAATCACTTATGTGTTTCTTTTCTTAATTAATTAATTATTTTGAGACAGAGTCTTGCTCTGTCACCCAGGCTGGAATGCTGTGGCATGATCCCAGCTCACTGCAACCGCCACCTCTTGGGCACAAGCCATCTTCCCACCTCAGCCTCTTGAGCAGCTGAGACTACAGACTCACACCACCATGCCTGTTAATTTTTGTATTTTTTGTAGAGAAGAGGTTTTTCTGTGTTGCCAGTACAGTCTTGAACTCTTGAGCTCAAGTGATCCACCTGCATCGACCTCCCAAAGTGCTGGGATTACAGGCGTGAGCCACCACACGTGGCCCAATTTATGTGTTTCTTGACTAGTACATTTTGTTGAACATAAATTTTGTAAAAAAGTCAATTTACAAAATATCTGATGGGGAGAGAATATAAAACTCTTCTTGTTTCTTTAAATCCCGACTGAAACACACTTTCTATTAGCAAACTAAGTAGGTCACTTTAAGAAAATATTAACTCTCTTTAAGACATTTTCTTGTGCAAAAAAATTGGGCAGAGATAATGAGTTTGACAATGAATTGTTTTCTAAATGACACTGAAAGATAGAGTTGAATAAAATAAAATTCACCTATCTAGGAGATTCTCCCTAAGCTAACTAAAAATAATTTTAACTATAGTAATGATAATAGCAAGAAAAAAATTAGTGTACAAAAGAGATCCTGGATTTGAGGTTGAAGCTTGAGGAAAAGACAGCATTACAGAATATTAAATACTCCACAACCCAGTCCTAAATTGTAACATAAAAATAAACACTCTGGGAGTTTCAAAGAGAACAATGTAAATTGGAATTTTGAAGGGTGTGTTTTGTACTCTAACTCCCCTTTGAGAAACACAGGCAAACTTCCCAGTAAAAATGTTTTCCCTCAGTCAGCTCAGAGTGGCCTTAATGGAAGTTTGGATAATTGAAAGAAGATATAGTTTTAGAGGAGGTGAAATAACCCTTTGTCAATCTATCAACTTTGTGTTTTGTTAAGGAAACAAAGGTGAAAGATGGAGAATTTGTAAAGGATGAATAAAATTAACTTCAAATCCATATTTCTTCAATAATATCTGGTTTAGTGGAAAGAAATTTATTCTTTTTCCTTTAATACCTATTCTCCTATTTTTAATGTTTTAACATTGGAATTTTCTTATTTTTTAAATAACACATTTATTGCAGAGAAATCAGAATAGAAACATATAAGCAAAAAAATGACATAACATATTATCCTGGGTAGGGGGACTTCAAGATGGCTGATGAATGGCATCTGGTACTCACCTCCTCCACAAAAAAGAACCAAAATAGAGAACAGATAATCACACCTTGAAGAGATCACCTTAGAGAGAATGCTGGAGTGCAGCACAGAAGTGACAGGGAACACCTACAACAAGGAAGGGGAGGGAGCAAGGCAGCCTGCTCTGCTGGGATCAGCTGGAGCCTGGAGAAGCTTTCCAGTGCAGGGAAAGTGTAAATGACTGACACCCAGTGGTCCACATTTCCACTGTAGACTCCACTCCTGCAATCCTAGTCATGGTAGAGCCCATTGACCCATGCAGATCCTGGGACTAACGTTAGGGAGCTGCCTAGAGACCACATGATGGCATTGCTTCAGAGAGGGAGCTCATGCTGGATCCCATATACACTCAATCCTAAGCAGCTACAGCAAAGCAACATTTTGAGAGCCCAGGCCCCATCAGATTGCATTTTGCCCTAGGCTGAAGAGTCCTGCATTTATACATTTCTAGAGAGAGCCCCAGGAATATCATCTGCCTGCAACTATGTGCTACAGCTGGCTGCTGCTGCCAGAGCTGAAGCATGAGCCATTGGCAGTGACCCTGCTGCCCCCAGTAGTAGGGCCACCACACATTTACAAGAGCCCGGATGAGCGGCTACCCCACTTGCAGCCACCACCTAGGGCCAAAATGTGCTCCCAGCTGCCTATTTACAATAGACACAACTGAAACCATGTCCACCCTCCTCAGCAACAGGGTTGCAATGCAGCTGCTATTACTCAAGCATTCAACTGGGCGCCCAAGCATTCCACTGGATGCGTGGGGATCACCCCACCTCTGCCTACCACAGCCAGCAACCACATTACTACTAGGGTATATGAGAACAGGCCCTCCTGGACAAGGTCCACCCCAAACCTCCATGCCTGAGCACACTGCCCACTGACCTTGGGATCACCCTGCTTGATCCACCACCATTGACACCTGAGCACTCCTCCTTGCCCACCACCCAACTTGCCACCACCACCACAGCTGGAGCCAACCTGCACATGTCACCTGTGGGCCTGGAAACTGACCCACCCAGACCATCACAGACATCATCAACACCAGAGTGGATCACTGGGAAGTCAGAGGGTTGCCCTACCAATGCCACTTCCCTTGCCCATGCCTTATGTACTTCACAGGTGCCTGAGGACCTGCCCACCAACTTGATCTACTACTACTACTGCTGGTACTTGAGCAAGCTGCATGGAAACCCAAGAACTGACCTGACTGGACCTAAACTGCTGCTAGCGTACACTGCTCTGGGATGCAAGGACAGACATGTCCAGTCTGCCATTGCCACCACTGAGGCTTAAAGAATAGACCACCTGAAATGTCCTACCCAACCAACAATATAAATACATCTTCAGGAAAAAGCTCTTCCCTAAAAAAGCAAATTTGAAAAATTTTTTTAAAAAGTGGTTGTTACACCAGATATCAATAAAAGAAACAGGGAATAGCAAAGAATTATGAGACCTCAAAAGAAACATAATAATCATTTAGCAACAAATTCCAATGAAAAAGAAATTTATAAAATCCCAGAAAAAGAATTCAAAATAATGACATTAAAAAGTTCAACAAAATACATGAGAACATAGATAATAATACAAATATTTTTTAATTCGATATGAATTAGAAACTTACCAAAGTGATAGATATCATAAAAAAGAACCAAACAGAAATTCTGGAACTGAAGAATTTATTGAAAGAAATACAAAATGCACTCAAAAGCTTTAGTAATACATTAGATCAAGTAGAAGAGTTTCAAGCCTTGAAGAAAGATCTTTTGAAATGATCCAGTCAGACAAAAATAAATAAATAAAAGAAAAAGAATAATCAAAGCTCACATGACATGTAGTACACAATAGAGCAACCAGATATTTGAGTTTCTGGTGTCACAGAAGAATAGAATACAAAAGGGAAGGAAAGCCTTTTCAAAAATAACAGAGGAAAACTTCCAAAGTCTAGAAAAAGATTTAGATATTCAGATATAGAAAATTTAGAGATCCCAAACAGATACAATTCCAAAAAGCCTTCCATGTGACATATCATAGTCAAGCAGTCAAAGGTAAAAGACAAAGAGAGAATTCTAAAAACAGGAAAAGAAAAATGTTTTGTCACTTACAAAGGAATATTCGTCAGACTAACAGTGGATTGCTCAGCAGAAACTTTACAGGCCAGGAGAGAATGGGATTATATAGTCAAAGTGCTTGAAGAGCAGAACAGAACAGAAAATTAAATAAAATAAAAGTAAAGAGAAGAAAAGAAAGGAACTATCAGTCATGGATGCTATACCCAGCAAAGTTAGCTTTCGTAAATGAAAAAGAATACATAAATAAAGTCTTTCCAAGACAAACACAAGCTGAAGAAATCCAACCCTACAAGACTGGCCCTACAAGAAATACATAAAGGAGTTCTAGGCTTTAAAAGGACAATATCTATCATCATGAAAACACACAAAAGTATAAAACATCCTGATAGAGCAAACACACAAATTATGAAAAGAAAGGACTCAAATGTTTTCACTAGAGAAAACCAATAAACAAGGAAGAACGATGAGAGAGAGAGAGAAACAACAGATACACAAAACAATCAGAAATCAATTAATAAAATTGATTTTAGTAATTGATTTAATAAACAATAACAGGAAAAAGGTCTCACATATCAATAATAATCTTGGATGTAAATAAACTTTTCACATATCAATAATAATCTTGGATGTAAATAAACTTTTCATATAAAAGACTGGCAGAATGGATTTAAAAAGTGACTCAACCATATGTTGCTTAGAAGAAAATTATCTTACCTATAAAGTCAAACATAGGCTGAAAGTAAATGGATGGAAAAAGAAATTCCATGCAAAGAGAAATCAAAAACAAGCAGGAGTAGTTATACTCGTATAAAATGAAATGTATTTTAAGTCAAAAAAGTAAGAAGAGACAAAGAAGGTCATTGCATAATGATAAGAGTAACAATTCAGCAAGAAGATATAATAACCGTAAACATATATGCACTAAATACAGGACCCCCAAGACATACAAAGCAAATACAAAACCTCCCTTAAATTTAAAGGGAGACAAACTCCAATATAATCATAGTTGTGGACTTCAATACCCCACTGTTAGCATAGGACTGATTATGTAGAAAGAAAATCAATGAAAAACATTGGATTTGAATTGCACTTAGGAACAAATAGACCTAACAGGAATTTGCAGAACACTTAATTCAACAGTTATAAAATATACCCTCTTCTCATCAGTACATGGGACATTCTTTAAGACAGACTGTATGTTTGGACACAAAACAATTATCAACAAATTAAAAAATAATCTGAAGTCATATCAAGTATCTTCTCATATCACAATGGAATAAAACTAGATGTCAAAATAAGAGGAGCTTTAGAAGCAGTAAAAATATATGAACATTAAACAACTTGCTTCTGAATGACCATTGGGACAATGAAGAAATTAGAGGGAAAATCAAAAAATTTATTGAAACAAACAAAAATCAAAACATTACATAGTAAAGTCTATGGGATACAACAAAAGCAGTGCTAAGAGGGATGTTTATAGCAATAAATGCATGCATTTAAAAGTTAGAAAGATTTTGAATAAAAAGTCTAGCAATGCACCTCGAAAACCTAGAAAAGCAAAAAGATGCCAAACTTAGTAGAACAAAATAAATCAGGATCACAGCAGAACTAAACAAAATAGAAACAACAAAAACAGTACAAAGAATCAGTGAAATGAAAACTTGGTTTTATGAAGGTGTAGAAAAATGGAGAAACAGGTAGACTAACCAAGAAAGAAGAGAGAAGACCAAAATAATAAAATCAGAAACAAAAAAGAGGTGTTACAACTTACACTATAGAAGTATAAAATATTATCAGAGATTATTATGAACAACTATACATTAACAAACCGGAAAAGCTAGAGGAAACTGATAAATTTGCAGACACTTACCACCTACCAAGATTAAATCAGGAAGAAATACAAACAGATCAATAATGAGTAATATGATTAAATAAGTAAAAATAAATGTCCAGGACCAGATGGCTTCACTGCAAAATTCCACCAAACTTATAAAGAGTTAATAACAATTCTCTTCAAACTATTTCAAAAATTTAAAGAGTAGGGGATTCTCTCCAACTCATTCTACAAGGCCAGCATTACCCTGCTACCACAACCAGGCGAGGACACAACGACAAAAATAACTTACAGGCCAATGTCCCTGATAAACAGATGGAAAAATTCCCAATAAAATATACACAAACTGAATCTGACAGCACATCAAAAAGATAATACACCATGACAATGTAGGATTTATCCCAGGGATGCAAGGATTGTTCAACATACACAAATCTATAAAACGTGATAAACTACATCAACAGAATAAAGGGCAAAAACCATGTGATTATATCAATAGGCACAGAAAAATCATTTGATAAAATACAACATCTACTTATGATAAAAATTCTCAACAACATAGGCATAGTAAAAACATACCTCAACATGATAAAGTCCATATATGAGAAATGCAAAGCTAAAATCATACTGAATGGGGAAAAGCTGAAAACCTTCCAAGAACTGGAACAAGTAATGGATGCCTACTTTTACCATTCCTATCAACATAGTAGTGGAAGTCCTAGCCAGAGCAATCAGGCAAGAGAAAGAAGTAAAAGTCATCTAAATTAGAAAAGAGAAGTCAAATTGGCCCTCTTTGCAGAAAATATAATCTCAAATTTAGGGGAAAAAAAAAGGTTCAACCAAAAAAACCGTTAGAACTGATTAATAAATTTAGTAATTCAGGATACAAAATCATCATACAAAAATCAGTAGTATTTCCATACACCAATAATGAACTAGCTGAGAGAAAAGTTAAATAAGGCAATCCTATTTTAAATAGCTATTTAAAGATACGTAGGAATAAATTTAACCAAGAAGGTAAAAGATCTCTACAGGGAAAACTACAAAACACTGATGAAAGAAATCGGAGAGGACATAAACAAATAAACAGAGTAAAGAAACAATCTGCAGAATGGGAGAAAGCTTTGCAAACTATTCATCCAACAAGGGACTAATATCCCGAATATACAAAGAACTCAATTAACTCAAAAGTAAAAATATATATATATAGATACCATTAATACATATATACACAGTAAAAAAATATATATCTCCAGGCATTCAGAGCACTTGCTTGCCTGGTTCAGCAGCCTAAGTCATCTCACTCTTCTTGTGCAGAGATCTTGGTATGGGGGAGCCCTCTTTGCTCCATGCCCTGGCAGATCTCCAAGCATGAGAGTGCCAGATGGAACATCAGCCTGAGCTGCTCCACTCTACCTATGCAGTGATCCTGGTGCAGGGGAGCTCTCTCTTGTCCACACAGGCAGATCTCCAGGCATCTGGAGCACATCGTCTCCTGGATTGAGAGTTTAGGCTGCCCCTCATACCCCTGTATATAATTTGAGGCTGAGGAGGTTTCCCAGCTCCATGCCTAGGCACATCTCTGGGCACCTATTGATTTCCCACTGAATTCTCTTTCAGGGCTGGAGCGTGTGCCTGCCACCAGGGAACCTGTAGACAGAACTGCCTCGTCTGATCCAACCCATCTTTACCCTCACCTCCCCGCGGCTGATCAGGGAGCTCAGACTACAGTACACTCCATGAATTAGTCCATTGCCTGAGACAGCGGAAAGCTTCTCCTGGTAAACAAGGATCAAGTATATACCCAGCCACATTGGCTGCAACTTGCTGTTACCTATAAGCGCCATCTACTGGCTTGTAAGTTAAACTTCACAGCCCAACATGAAAAATGCTAAGAGAAGTGCATAGGGCTATAGAAGCAAAGCCCATAGACCCTAACCAGTATTCTCTACAGACACATGCCCTAGGGAAGAAGATAAAGAAAAACGGAAAGAAAAAATATTATATGGAAAGAAAGAAAAAGCAAAACTTCTACCCGCATGAAAATAATTACAAAACTAGAAATGCCAGCATCTCTAGAAGAAAAGGAACCAGTTTAAGAATCTGGCACTATGAAGAATCTGAATGTAGTGATACCACCAAATGATTGCACTAGCTCGCCAGTAATGATCCCTCACCAAATGAAAACTCAGAAATTACAGATAAAGAATTCAAAGCGTGGATTGAAAGGAAGCTCAAGGAGATCCAAGAGAAGCTGGAAAATCAACACAAAGAAACTTCTAAAGCAATCAAGGAAATGTAGGAAGAGATAAACATCTTTAATAATATCAACTAGAGCTTCTGGAATTGAAAAACTCACTTAAGGAATTTCAAAATACAATTTAAGGCTTTATTAATAGACTGGACCAAGTAAAAGAAAGAATTTCAGAGTTTAAAGATCCATCTTTGATCTAACCCAGTCAGACAAAAATTTAAAAAAAGTTAAAAAAGCCTTTGAGAAACATGGGATTATATAACATGACCAAACGTATGCATTATTGGAATTTCTGAAAGAGAGAGAGAAAAAGTAAACCAAATCAAAAATATATTTGAGGAAATAATTCAAAAAAAATTTCCTAATATTGCTAGAGATGTAGACACTAGATACAAGAAATCCAGAGAACACCTGCGATATACTATACAAAATGAATGTCACCAAGGCATATGGTTACTGGACTTTCCAAGATCGATACTCAAGAAAAAAATCTTAATAACAGCTAGACAAAAAAAACATATCATGTACAAAGGGAAACCCATCTGGCTAAAAACATACTTCTCAGCAGAAACTTTACAAGCCAGAAGAGACTGGCGTTCTATGTTCAGCATTCTTAAAGAATTAAACATTCTAACCAAGAATTTTATATTCTACTAAATTAAGCTTCATAAGCAAGGGAGAAATAAAATCTTCCAGATAAGCAAACAGTAAGAGAATTTATTACCACTAGACTAGCCTCACAAGATATCCTTAAGGGAGTTCTAAACATGGACATGAAAGAACAATACCTACTACCACAAAAACACACTTAAGAACATAGCCCACAAACCCTATAAAGCAAACACGCAATAGAAACTACAAAGCAATCAGCTGACAACTTCACGATAGTATCAAACCTCACATAATAATATTAATCTTGAATGTAAGTGATTTAAATGCCCCTCGCAATAGGCACAGAATGGCAAGTTGGATAAAGAATACAAAACCTATTTTTCTGTTGCCTTTAAGAAGCTCATCTCATACGTACCAGTGCCCATAGGCTCAAAGTAAAGAATTGAAGAAAGATTTACCAAGCAAACAGAAAATAAAAAAGAGCAGGGGTCCCTATTCTTGTATCAGATAAAACATACTTCAAGCAAATAAAGTAAAAAAGGACCAATAAGGGCATTACCTAAAGATAAACTGTTAATTCAACACAGTATTTTTAACTATCCTAAAAATATATTTACCTAAACTGTAGCCCTCAGATTTATAAAACAAGTACTTTTAGACCTATGAAAAGACTTAGACAGTCACACAATAGTAGTGAGGGACTTTAACATTCCCCTGATAGCACTAGAAAAATAGCATTAGACTGATAGCATTAGACGTGTGAAAACTAACAACAAAAATCTGGAATTAAACTTGACACTTGACTAATTGGACCAAACAGACATCCACCCATTAGCCACAGAGTATAAATGCTTCTCATATGTACAAAAAACATACTCCAAGATCAACCACATTCTCAGCCATAAAGTGAGCCCCAATAATTTCAAAAAATCAAAATCTTACCAACCATACTCTCAAATCACAGTATAATAGAAATAGAAGTCAATACCGTGAACAGCTCTCAAAACCACACAATTTCATGGAAATTAAATAACTTGCTTTTGAATGGCTTTTGGGTAAACAAAAAAAAATGCATAAATCAAAAAAATTATTTGAAATAAATGAAAACAGAGACACAACATACCAGAAATCTCTGATGCAACAAAAGTAATGCTGAGGAAAGCTTATCATGGCAAGTGCCTACCATCAAAAAGAGAGATCTCAAGTTAACAATCTAACATCACACCTAGAAGAACCAGAAAAACAAGAACAAACTAACCTTAACACTAACAGAAAAAAATGAATAACTAAAATCAGAGCAGAACGCAGAGAAATTGAGAACCCAAAATTCATACAAATAATCAACAGAAAGGACAAACAAGATCAACAGAATTCTAGCTACAAAGAAAAAAAAATACAGAAGATCCAAATAAGCACAATCAAAAACAACAAAGGTGACATTAGAACCAATCCCCCAGAAATACAAGGGATCTCAGAGACTGTTATGAACATCTGTATGCACCCAAACGAGAAAATCTAGAGGAAGTGGATAAATTCCTGGAAACACACAATCTCTCAGGATTGAATTGAGGAAATTGAAACCCTGAACACACCAACATCAAGTTCTGAAACTGAAACAGGAATAAAAAAACCTAACATATAAAAAAGCTCCAGACCAGATAGATTTATAAACAAATTCTACCAGACATGCAAAGAAGAGCTGGTACCAATTCTACTGAAGCTATTCCAAAAAATTGAGTAGGAAGGACTCCTCCCTCACTCATTCTATGAAGCCATCATTACCCTAATACCTAAACCTGGCAAAGAAACAATGAAAAATGAAAAACTACAGGCCCATTTCCATGATGAACATAAACTCAAAAATCCTCAGCAAGTTACTGGTTAACCAAATCTAAAAACACATAAAAATTTTAACTTACTGTGATCAAGTAGGCTTCATTCCTGGGCTGCAAGTTTGGTTCAACATACACAAGTCAATAAATGTGATTCACCACATAAACTGAATTAAAAACAAAAACCATATAATCATCTCAATAAATGTGGAAAACATTTTTGATGAAATCTAACATCCCTTCATGTTAAAAACTCTCAACATATTAGGCATCAAAAGAATATATCTCAAATTAATAAAAGCTATCTTATATTAGCTTTTATTAGCTTTTATTAATTAATAAAAGCTAATATAAGATATTAATTTTTAAATTAATAAAAGGTAATATCTTATATTAGCTTTTATTGCCTGTGGAACAAACCCACAGGCAACATCACAGTGAATGAGAAAAAAACCTTGAGAACTAGAAAAACATAAAGATGCCTACTGTCACCACTCCTGTTCAACATAGTACTGGAAGTGTTAGCCAGAGCAAACAGCAAGATAAATAAATAAAAGACATCCAAATAGGAAAAGAAGCAGTCAAACTATTTCTCTTTGTGGAGGATATAATTCTATACCTAGAAAACCCTAACAAATCTTCCAAAAAGCTCTTAGAGTTGATAAATGACTTTAGTAAAGTTTCAGGATACAAAAATCAATGTACAAAAGTCTGTAGCATTCCGATACACCAATAACATTCAAGCTGCAAGCTTGAATCAAGTCAAATCAAGTATGCAGTTTAATTTATGATAGCCACAAGAAAGCCTAGGAATACATATAACCAAGGAAGTAAAATATCTTTACAAGGATAACTTTAAAACACTACTGAGAGAAATCACAGATGATACAAACAAATGGAAAAACATTACATGCTCATGGATTAAAACAATATCATTAAAATGGCCATACTTCCAAAAGCAATCTACATATTCAATGCTATTGCTATCAAATTACCAAGGTATTTTTCATGGAGTTGGGGAAAAAAACTATTCTAAAATACATATAAAACCAGAAAAATAAGCTCCATAGCCAAAGCAATCCTAAGCAAAAAAGAACAAAGCTGGAGGCATCACATTACCTGACTTAAATCTATCCAATAAGCCTACAATAACCAAAACAGAAAAAAAAAAAAAGACACATAGACCAAAGAAACAGAATAGAGAACCCAGAAGTAAAGGTGCACATCACACACTTACAGCCATCTGGTCTTTGGTAAAGTCAACAAAAACAAGCAATGGGGAAAAATTCCCTATTCAATAAATGGTGCTGGGATAGCTGGCTAGTCATTTGCAGAAGAATGAACGTGGACCCCTACCCTTCACCATATAGAAAAATTAACTCAAGTTGGATTAAAGAGTTAAATGTAAGACCTCAAACCATAAGAATTCTAGAATAAAACCTAGGAAACACCATTCTGGACATTGGCCTTGGAAAATAATTTATGACTAAGTCCTCAACAGCAATTGCAACAAAAACAAAAATTGACAAGTGGGACTAATTAAATGAAAGAGCTTCTGTACAACAAAATAAATTATCAACAGAGTAAACAGACAACTTACAAAATGGGAGAAAATATTTGCAAACTATATATCCAACATCTAACGAAGGTCTAATATCCAGAATACATAAGGAACTTAAACAATTGAACAAGCCCAAAACAAAAACCCCACTACAAAATGGGCAAAATACATGAATGGAGACCTCTCAAAAGAAGACATAAAAGTGTCCAATAAGCACATGAAATAATGCTCCACATCACCTAATCATCAGAGAAATGCAAATCAAAACCACAATAAGATACCATCTCACATGAGTCAGAATGGCTATTAATAAAAGTCAAGAAACAACAGATGTTGGCAATGGTGCAGAGAAAAGGGAATGCACATACACTGTGGGTGGGAATATAAATTAGTTCAGTCACTATGGAAAGCAGTTCAGCGATTTCTCAAAGAACTTAAAATGAAACTACCATTCAACCCAGCAATCCTATTACTGGATATATATCCAAAAGGAAATCAATTGCTCTACCAAAAAGACACATGTATTTACATGTTCATCATAGCATGATATACAATAGCAAAGATGTGGAATCAATCTAGGTGCCCATCAATGCTGGATCAGATATACATCAGATATGTATACATCATGGAATACTACACAGCCATAAAAAAGAATGAAATTGTGTCCTTTGCAGCAACATGGATGGATCTGGAAGCCATTATCTGAACAAATTAATGCAGGAACAGAAAACCAAATGCTGCATATTCTCACTTATAAGTGGAACTAAATATTGGGTACTCATAAACATAAATATGGCAATAGAAACTGGGGACTACTAGAGGAGGCAGAAAATGAGAGGGGATGGGTTGGAAAACTATTGGGTACTATGCTCAGTACCTGAGTGATAAGACTTCTCATACTCCAAACCTCAGCATCATGCAATATTTCCAGGTAACAGACCTGCACATATACTCCCTGAATCTAAACTAAAAGTTGAGAAAGAGAGAAAAAGTAGGCAAAGGACATGAATAGACATTTCTTAAAAGAAAGACACAGAAATAGTCGAAAATATGAAAAAATGCTCAATATAACTAACCATCAGATAAATATAAATCAAAACCACAATGAGATATCATCTTATCCAAGTTAGAATGGTTATTATAAAAAATAATTACAGATGCTGGTGAGGATGTGAAGAAAAGGGGACTCTTATACACTGTTGGAGGAAATGTACATTAGTACAGTCACTATGGAAAATAGTGTAAAGCATTCTCATACACAAATACAAATAGAACTACCATATGATCCAGCAATTTCTTTACTGGGTATTTATCCAGAGGAAAAAAAATCAATATACCAAAGTAATACCTACACCTCCATGTTTATAGTCCCTGTCAATGAATGAATGAATAAAGAAAATTTGGTATATGCACAATGGAATACTGTTCAGCCATAAAAAAGAATGAAATAATGTCATTTGCAGCAACATGGATGGATCTGGAGGTCATTATATTAAGAGAAATAAGTCAGGCACAGAAAGACAAATATTACATGTTCTCACTCATATGTGGGAGCTAAAAATTAATCTCATCAAGTTAGAGAGTAGGATGATAAGTACCAGAGCCTGAGAAGGGTTTCTGAATAGCAGATAGGTACAGAGATAAAGAGAGGCTGGCTTATGGGTACAAACATATAATTTAGAGGAATAAGTTCTGATGTGTGATAGCAGAGTAGTGTAGCTACAGTTAACAACAATGTTTTTCATATTTCAAACTGGCTAGAAGGGAGGATTTGCAATGTTACTAAGACATAGAATTAATAAACACTCGAGGTGATGGATATTTCAAATACCCTGACTTGACAATTACAAATCATATGCATGCAACAAAATTCATACAACTATGTACCAATATTATATATCAATTAAAAATTATTTAAAATGACATATTATTTCATCACCTAAAAATTCCTACTGTCAACCCTTGATATGTATGTTCCAAATTATTTTTAATGCACATATGCTTACCTGGTTCCATTTTATTTTTCAAAAATGGATATCATTTTTAATGTCTTTGCCACTTAAAATATATATTAACTTTCTCCTAGTAATTAAAGATTTTTCCACAATATGCAGTTCAGTTTGCACACCACTTTGTGTGAATGAACGGAAATGCATTTAAGCAGTATTTTATTGATAAATATCTACACCCTTTTCAATTTTTTATTGTATTGAAGGGGTATAATGAACATTACTGTAGCTAGCCTTTTCATACAGTTATGTTTACCTCATTAAGATAAATTTCTAAAAACAGAATCATTATTATAACAAGAACTAATTACTCCATATTACTCACATGCAAGAGATAACTTGTATATTTATTTTCTTAGATCAAATCGAATCCAGTCCTGAGTCCCAACTGGCTTCAATATTTATCATTCTGCCAATTTCTTTACCACTCCCTTCAGTTATAAATTCCCTGAATTTAGTGCATCCCAGAAAAGTGGGGCAAGGCCTCTATGGTCCTCAGTGCTTTGATATTGTCACTACCACTCCTCCTGACACATACTGTCAAATGAGTGGTTGGTTATCCACCTGATTTGGGCATAGCCACTTTAGAGTCCTCCTGAGTTCCACTCCAGCCAGTTGACAAGTAAGTAACCTTGAACTGAGTTTGGGTTGTCAATCTCCCCAGTCTTGGAAACCAGCCCACCGGACAAGATGGAGGTGATGAGTGTTCAGCCCTGACAAGCATCCATTCAGGTAGCCCCTATAGGAGGTAGAACTACCTTAAGCCACTGCATTGAGAAATGTGGGTTTCTGTCCCAGGAGCCCACAAAGCCCTAAGTTTTCTCTGATAATCCAATCAATCCTATCTCTAGTCAAATTGACCCACCTCCACAGGAGCTTTGCATGATCCCAACAACCACAGTGTCTTCAACTAGGGGGGGATTTTACCACCCCCAAATCAAAGGACATCCGGTAATGTCTAGAAACATTTTTGTTGTCATAACTGGGAGAGGGGACTTCTGAATTCTGTGGGTAGTGGCCAGGGATACTGCTAAACACTTTACAATGCACAGGACTACCTCCTACAAGAAATAATTGTCTGTCACAAAATGTCAGTAATGCTGAGAGTGAGGAACCTTGCTCTAAACATATATCATTTATTTCACATTTCAGTAATGTCAGCAGCCCCTACTTTGTTTGTTTTGTAAGGTCCTCATGGTGAGAGGACTGTCTGAGAAACATGTCTGTCTCTGTCTCTCACAGCTCCTGTTCCCACACCTTATGTATAGTTGGCTTTCAGTGATTTTGTATTACCTGGTAAATCCCACTGTAAAATGCCAAATTATAAAAGGAGGATGCCTCAAAACAAGCTAAATCTTCCTGGCACCCACTTTTTAGATTAGTTGTCTTGACTCTGGCCACAATATAATAATCTGGAGAGCCTTTAAAAATGTCCATATCCAGGCTTCTCCCAGACCAACTGAGACCAAAACTTGACATAGGCCTGGACATAGACATTTACAAAATCTTTCCAGTGGCCAATATGCAGCCAGGGTCGAGATTCCTCCGTTAGACTGTCTTTCAGGTCTGCCTGTCTATTCTCACCTCCCATCTCTCAGCACACACGTGAACCCATCGTCTGTAAATAACGCTAGGGTATTCACAAATAAATATAAAAGAAAAAGAGTAGAGCTACAAACCTTACTCCTCTCAGATAGATTTGCTTTAGAAATAGGAATCAAAGTCTTAAGCTACAGCCTTAGGCTCTGATGGAATGTGGTTAAGGGCTCATCCAGTGAGTAAAGGAGGCATTGTGGAACTGGAAGCCATTTCTACCATTCTGAGTATTTGGGGGGATTTTTCTTCCTCCTGTGGCTGAAATTGACCCTTAATTTAGAGGGCATTACGTTGTACCTAGTAGTGCTCAGAGCTGTCCAACAATTTCCTCAATTAACTACCCTAAATTTTGGAGCCAGAAAAGTCTGTGTTCAAGTCACAGACAAAGATTTCTCCATTTCTTTTCCTTGGTTGTGACAATTACATAACATCACTAAGGTGAAAAAGAAAAAAACTCCAGGACTTGACCTTGTTAATAATGCGTATTTTTCTTACACTCTCCCTCTCCATCACCATTTTCTTCTCTCTCACAATTTCTTTCTTTCTTCCATTTATTCAACACATACTGCCTGAGCACCTACTCTGAGATATTCACTAGTCTAGGGGCAATGAAAAAGACAGATGAAGTCCCTGATCTCATATCTCTTGCATTGTAGTGAGGATGAGGGAACAGAGACTGACAGTGCACAGGAAGCAAAGAGTAATTAAGATAACATCTGACAATGATTAATACTGTGAAGGAAACAAGCCAAAGTGAATGGTTAAATGGTGACATGTTGTAGAGGCAGTGCTTTGGTCAGTGTGGTCTAGGATGGTCTGTCTAACTGATGAGGTGTCATTTGAATAGACAACTGAATAAGAATGAACCTCACTGTGAAGATCTGGAGGGAAACTATTCTAGGTATTAACAGCAAGGTCAAAGGCCCTGAGCTCGGAGTTTTTAAGGATAGAAGAAAGTTTTGTATGGCTGGGATGTGGTAAATATGGAATAAAGATAAGAACTGTGATTGCAGAGGTTAACAGGAATCAGATGGTGCAAGATCTCGTAGGCCACATGGGTGTTTAGATTTTATTTTATGCATAAGGAGGCCATTACAAGCAGAAGTAACATTGTTTCATGTACATTATAAACAATCTCTCTGGCTGCACCTAGGTAAGGAAGAACTGGGGTACAACAGTGTCTCCAGGATGGCCAGGATATTGCTACAATAATCCAGGCAGAGCATGGTAGAGGCTTGAATGCCCAGTTTCCTCTCTGAAAGGAAATGAAGGGTCAATGCCTAAATAAACAGAAGAAAGTATCTGGATCTGTGGAAAACAGGCATGTGGATTCTGAGATCCGCATGAATCGACTCACCAAATTTGGTCACAAATCTAGTTGTATATGAGAAGTGGCAGATGGAGGTAGTAAGGATGAAAGGAATGTTTCCTGTGAGATACTGATAGTATAAGATATTGAACTTGAACATGAAAAATTAATCATAGAGTCTTTTTTCTTCAGTTCTATTGAGACAATTGACAAAATTTTATATATTTAAAGATGTGCAATGTGATGATTTGATATACAGGTACATTGTGAAATGATTAACCTAATAAAGCTAATTACTATATCCATCACCTTACATAGTTATCACCCTTTTTGTGTGTGTGGTGAGAATACTTAAGATCTGCCCGCTTAGCAGACTTCCAGTATTCCATATGCTATTATTACCTATAGTCACCATTCTGTACATTAGATCTCCAGAACCTATTCATTTTGTACCCTTTGACCCACATCTCATTACCCCATCCTCCAGCTTCTGGTAACCATTCCTCTACTTTTCATAGACTCTTGAAGTTAGAAGTCACCCTAGAAATTATGCCCAAACTTCCCATGGCATCACTGGAAAGACTGAGTCTCAGAGTGGTCTTCACTTGCCCAAGGTCACACAGTAAGGTGGTGCCAGAAACCAGCTCTCCCATCTGCCACCTAGGACTCTTTTTGGTGTGATCACCTTTAGGCATCAGAGTAAACCTATTTCAATATAAAACCTATGATGAGCCAGAGGAAGAACACACTTCTGGATGTTCCTTCATTCACTGTTCCTCTCCCCTTCCCATCATCCCTGAATCAGGCTGCTTTCTGCTCAGTTCCCTATTATTCCAGGGGGTGGGGACACACCCTGCCTCTTCCTGGGTGCTGCCACTGTGTTCAGGTGTTCTTTTAGAAAACATAATCACTACCCTTTGATGATGCAGATTGCATCCTTTCTCCACCCGCCTGCTTTTCCTTTTCCTGACTCACTGTTTCTGTCCTGTTGGGGGCTGAGCAAGGGTGAAGTGCTGCCATGGCCTCACCTCTGCCAGCTTCCTGCTTGCTGGAGCTTCCAAACAAACTCTGGATTTATCTAGGGTAGCAAGTGTTTCATCAGTGTGGTGCTAACAGGCTGCTATGGGATGGGATGGGAAGGCAGGGAGAAAGCAATCATGGACTGAGATGTAATATTCAAGATTACTGATCAAAATAATTTATCTCCTCTCCTCACAGCTGAGCCTTCCTTGGACAAAGAAATTCTCAAGTGCCCTCTGAGATTAAGAGATCTTCTTTATACATACATCATTTGATAGTTCTCAGCACTTTTCACGTAATCTGTGATTTTCTGACATCTGTATCCCACACCCCACCCTAAATAAATAACTTCTTCTCTGTTCTGTGGCATATTTTTTTTTGGTACAAACTTCAATTGTGTCATCACACTATTTTGAAATGATGTATTTGTCTTTCTTCCCTATTGGAATGTGAGTATTTCCAGTGTGGGCAGAAACTGTGCCTTCTTTGTCTTAATATCAACAGCCCCTAGAAGCGTGCCTGTCATATAATAGGTAGTACCAAATAAATGTGTGTTGATTTCCATGAGTTGTCCTTAGGAGTCCTCTAAGTCTTGTTACCCAAAATATGATCTAGAGACTCACAGTTTTAGCACCATCCAGAAGCTATTTAGAAATGCAGACTCTCATCCCCTGCCCCAGACCTAGAGATTCAGAATCTGCATTTTAACAAAATCCCCAGGGGCATTAATATATACATTAAAGTTTGAGAAGTACTGCATCTAAAACAGCTCCGTTTTGCAAAGGGAAAAAATTGAAGCCCAGAAACAGGAATGGACGTGTCCAAGTTTATTCAGCCTGTTGGTGGCAAAGCTGTGGGCAGAACCTAGTTCTTGCGTCTATGTCTAATGCTTTTGTCACTTCCCAGTCTGTCTCTCTGCTTTGCTATCCCCAGAGTCTGACTCATCCTCAGGAGGAATTTGTACAGACTTAAAAATGAGAGCTCAAAGGCCACAGAATAATTTTTTGTCATTTTAAAGCCTAGTATCCATTATCTCCCATAAACAGAGTCTACCTTGTGTAATTTGAGGAGCCACTGAGACACCCTTGCCTTGTCTTTCATCTCCATCTCATGCGGGGCCTAAAGTTTCACCATTATAAATCAAATATTTGGTCTTTAGAGGTAAATACCCTTGAGAGAGGAAATGAGTGAAAGGCTTGACAATTTCTACCTTAGTGGGAGATTATTGTATTCCTAGCTAAGAGGGAGCAGGTGCTGAGTCTAAGAATATAGGCTTAGGAATTTGATTGAACCAGGCACCCCTGGGTGACCTTGGTCAACACAGTAGTCACCGTCAGTTCGCTAAATATTTTACATTCTTCATGGGGATGTATTATAAGATTGGACGCTCCTGCTCCTGGGAAGGAGATGTGGCCTTCTGTTCATTGAGAGATTAGAAAAAAAGAAACACATGTCATTTCTGGGTGAAACATTTAACAGCCAGTGCATATTTTGACCACACCATCTCTTTCCCTCTGCCTCATCAACTGACAATAATTTGGAGACTCCTCTCTGTTGGCCTGGGTGCTGGGATGAGTACATGTAAAATGTATCTTCCAGAGAACCTAGGATGGACAGGAAAATGAGCAAGAAATACACCATAATTACTTAAAGTAACTGAAGTTCAGAGTCCTTTGTGTTACCTGCTTTTTGTTACCCATTCTGATTTGTATGGACAAAGTACTTTACCTATCTGCTTCAATTTTCTGATCTATAAATGGGATAATAACTACCTACTTGGAAGGCTGTTTATGAAGATTAAGTGATAGAACATATAACATGCTCTATATAATGCCTGGTTCACAGAAGGAGCTCAGTAACTCTTCTACCCACTTCCTTTAGACGGTTGAAAATAAGTCTTCGAAGAGTCACAGTATAGACAGAAATTGGTGGGGAGGGAATGAGAAATAATGAGAAAGAATACCAGTGCAGGCTGTTTGTGCGGATTGGGAGAGATTAAGTTCTCAGGGTATCATGCAAAGGATTCTGTGATACATTTATCTGAGTCAAATAATATTAAAAATGAATGCCATTTATGTTTTCTAGGAGAAAGAGAGTCACAAAGAGGAACCATGTAATTTGTTGAGGGGTGAACTTAGAGAAAGATGGATAGGATGATAGTATCTACATTACATGTATTGTATTTACTGTCACTCTACCCCCAAATCCTATCTAAATTTCTGACATCTTTCAAGACTCAGATCCAATATCACCAGATCTATGATTTCTAGCTTCCCGGCTATAATGTATGCTTTCTCTGAATTTCTGTGATATACAACCTGAATGATATGTGTCTTCCATTAGACTATGGGCTTCCTCCTGTTTAGACAATAGCCTCATCTAATTCATCTTTGTGTTCTCTAAAGTATACAGTAGGGAAAGTGCCTGTAATGATAGGAGCTTCTGTTTATTCACACAGGCCTGCACAGAGCACTTTAATCCCCCAGTATTCATTTAATCTCTTAGTAACCCCAGGAAATAGATTCTATTATTATTTCCACTTTACAGGTGAGGCATAAAGGCTGGGAGGAGTTTTTAAAGTGGCTCAAATTTACCCAGTCTTATAGTAGAACTTATGTACAAACTCATGTCTCTCTGACTTGACAGCCTTTTTTTTTTTTTATGGACAACATCTTTAATCAGTGTTTGTTGAATGGATGGATGAAAGAGAAATAGTGGCTGTAAGCTATTTTTAATGCACAGATCAGGACCAATTCTCCTCCCCTGTCTGCCTTGCTGAATGTCTGAGCACCCATGTTTGATATTTTAAGGAATATGCTAAGGTATTAGAGAGCAAAAAAGAAGTGCAGAAAATTCACTCAAGATAACTTCCTTTTTTTTTTTCCATTTAGCTAAGATAAAGCCCCACTTATTCATCTCCCAGTTTTTTTTTTCTGCAGAGCATGAAGGCATGTAAAGACCAAAAGGGAATGGGAAGAACATTATAAATGAGAGATTTAAAGCAAACTATGACTTCAAAGAAAGACAAGAACTTATAAAAATGCTCTAAAGGCTGATGGTTTAAAGTAAATGGGTAAATTTCAATGTGATGGTTTAGAAGGTTCATCTCACCCCCAAGCTCTTGATTTGAACGAACTTTTATCAGGTTGTTCCAGTGTAGTTTCTCTTAACTTGTATCTCATTTGACTGAGATAGCTTCATTGGCCCATAGCAAGTTAGCCTAAAGATGACTTCAAGGTCCTAATGCACTGGACTCTCATCCCCATCTTCCAGAAGACCCACTATCAGCCTCATACGGTTCACTAGCAGATGAAGCCTTAAGAAAAAGCAGAGCTTCATATTCCCAATCCAGTGACCCTTTCATATTGACTTCTAGAGATCAAGATCTATTCTCAGAGAAATCTGCCTATTGATGAACTATGACTCAAAAATAGGTCTAACTACGGAGAACTACTGTTAGCAAATTCTTTCATCAGAGTCCCTATAAAGCTTCTATTACAAATAATCATAATGGATTAGCTAGACTCAGATTCTGAACTTTCTCAAGAATTGTCATTCTTCCCAAATATCGATTGAGGTTGGATTCCTGCTAAGAAACGCAAGTGAAATTTGAGCACATCATTGCTTCCTGGCAGGCAATAAAGGTCATAATAAATTAAGATGATCGGAGTCTCATCAGATGACTATAGACACCAATATATAGGTAAATATATTTCTCATTTCTAAGTGTGCTAAATGTTATCCCTGTTAATGGACATTGGCTTGAGTTCGATAGAGAACCAGACATAGTCATAGATATGAATCCAAGCATAGGCAACAAAGGGTGTGCCACTGACCTGAGTTCCATTTGTGGTTTATTAATTCAATGTTTAATGCTGACTATGAAAGACAAACAAATACTGGGCTAAATATTGTGTAGTTAGGAGGAAAAAGAAAGGTCAAAGATCAAAATAAATCTAAATATATCAAGGTCAAAGGTCAACCCAATCCTCAAAAGGCACCTCAAAAAGTCGATTTAGGGGTAAAATAAAATATATACAAATAACAGAAGGGGGATGATAAAAATTTAACTCCCTTTTTTCTTCTGGGTGGGGCATAATTATGTACATTAGGTCCTAAGAACTGATAAGAGATGAAATTCTTCTGCAAGTCAGGAGGAGAAGAGTTTGGGGTCCCTAGGGACAATTTCATTTCAGGAGCAAATGCCAGTGAAATGTGAGTTATTATTGCTTCTATGGTCCCATCTCTACCCACAAGATGTCAAATATAAATCTCCAATAGATAAACATTTCTTGAATTTATATAAAAAAAGCACCTTCTCGACTATTTTAATAGTCTCATCCAATAAAATGTTACCAGACTTACCTTCTAATGTTCTAATTATATCACTCAACTTCTGCAAAGGCTTTAAAATGTATCCCTTTGTCTTCCAACAGGAAGAAAGATAAAGAATAAAAACAACAACCAGAAAAAAAATTCCACACAATAAAATAAAACAAAGCAAAAATGCCCAAATCTGGCATTTTAGATTTCCTTTACCAAACCCCAACCTTCTTTATCTTCTACCATATCTTTATTTCAGTTCCTCAATCCTGCCTCCTTATATGTGGCCTGCCCTTTCTGTTGCAATACTTTTTCTCAGGCTGTATTTCCCACCTGGAGTACTCCTCACTCCATTCTCTATACGTGGAAGGCTTAATCCTTCCCTTAGATCTCATACCTTATCTTCTTCAAAAGACTTCCTCAATGCTTACAGTAGTTTCCAGTAATTATACCTTAATATTTTTAGGCAATTTATTTAATCTCTCTGTTTTCTAGTTTCTTCATATATAGAAATGAATAATAATAGTATCTACTTCATAGTGATATGGTGATGATGGAATGAAATAAAACATGTAAAACACTCAAAACACAGCATGGTACACAATCAGCATTTAAAAGGATTAGTTTTAAGAGTAGTGATGATATTTGTGTTATTTATTATTATTTTATTAATATGCTATAGTTTGAATATTATCTACAAAACTTATATTGAAATTTAATTGATATTGTGAAGGTATTAAGAGATGGAACCTTTAGGTGGCATGTACCTGTAGTCCCAGCTACTCGGGAGGCTGAGGCAGGAGAATCACTTGAACCCAGGAGGAGGAGGTTGCAGTGAGCCGAGATGGCGCCACTGCACTCCAGCCTGGCAACAGAGCAAGACTCAGTCTCAACAAAAAAAAAAAAAAAAAAGAGAGATGGAAACTTTAAGAAGTGATTTGGTCACAAGGGCTCTGCCCTCAAGAATGCATTGATGTTATTATCATGGATGTGGATTCCTGATAAAAAAGAATAAATTCAGCCCCTGGTTTTTCTCTGTTTCACATGCCCTCTCTCTCACTCTTGCTTGTCATATGATATCTCCCACCACGTAATGATGCTGTAAGAAGGTCCTCACCAGAAGCCAGTGCCATGCTCTTAGACTTAGCAGCCTCCAGATCCATGAGCCAAACACACTTCCTTTCTTTATTAAGTAGCAAGTCCTTGGTATTCTGTTATCACAGCAGAAAACAGACTAGGACTTTGTATTGATACTTTTCTGTTCTGTCTCTGAATTTTACACCTCTATTTGAGCCTTGATATACTCAGTGGGCCTTTGGTTATAGCCACAATCCTTCACTAAGTTGTAAGCCCACAATGGTAAGGGGCAATGTCATATTCATTTTTCTCTCTAGTATTGTCCAGTGCCAGGGGGATAGCCTGACATTTAGCATGGACTTGATGAATAATTGTTAAATCTTACTGAACATGTATATTATATGTGTCATACAAGGTACAACTTAAACTCAAAAGAGGCTAATGGCAGCATTAGTCTGAAGGATTAGCTAATGCTTTACAGGCTAAATTGAGTCAGACAGAAGAAAATATATTTTCATCAATGCTGAAGAATTTCATTTACAAGGTTAATGAAGAAAAATGCAGTAGTTTGTGTGTATGTGTCTATGTGTGTTCATTTGTTTCTTCTTCCAATTTTAGTTATCTCCTTCTCTAGAATCCTCATTTTGTGCCAAAGGCTCAGTCAGGACAAGGGTATAATTTTGTCTAAGGAGCGAAGGAGTAGAAAAAAGGATAATGCGTAGGATGTAGGGAATCAAAATCTCCCATACTCTGCTACTGAGAATATAATTTGGTGCCTTTTACAATCAGCAGCATATATTAAAAGCTTTCAAATGAGCATCATCTTTGACCTAGCAATTTTTCCACTAGGAATTTATTCTACAGAAATCATAAAAAAATGTGAATGAGGAAGACTATACAAGAATAATATTTGTTAGTTGGAAATAAACTAAATTACTGAAGTGAAGGATAAGTTATGTAAATTATGGCACATCCACGTATTAGAATATTGTGCAGAAATTAACTTCATGTCATTAAAGAATAACATGGTTGAATGTTTAACATAATTGGAAAATGATTAAAGGGAGCTACAAAGGTTTGTGTTTCTTATAGTTTATAGATAGACAGATAGATAGATAGAAAAACAGACAGGAAAAGCCCCCAGTCATTCACAAAAAAATCCATGGAAATGGAATTGAAATTTAATAGAACAAGAGTAAGAAATTTGGCTCCTGACAATAACTTTCCCCGATTCATCAAAGGAAGATGCCAGAAGCCCTAACTAACATAATAATGATTTTAGAATCATGTGCCAAAAGGATACAACCATGAGCATGGATGTATATAATGTATGTTCATAGCTATATGAATACATTTCAATTTATGTATTTGTATGATACCACATCGTGCAATAAGATGAATAGATATTCATTAATTCTGAAGGATGTGCTTAAGAGAGTATGACTTTAAAATATGAGCTACTTGGAGTCCTGGGGAGGATCCCACAGAAAAAAGCAGATCTCTTCAAGAGGGGCTAAAAAGAAGATTCAGGGAGAAGCCAAGTGACTCTTACTCTTAGAGGTAATCCATACCCATTAAGATACCACAAAGAAAACACACCATAATTTTAAATAAGAATCCAACTCATCATAAAACCAGAGGCCCAAATTTCAGGGCTTTATTTGCCACTGAGCTGCTTTTCACAAGGTAAGTGCCCCAGGAAAAAAAGATGTGGCAAGAAGTGCTTTACTTAGCAATGATTGAAGATCTTCTAGCCAACAGTGTGGAGTGTGGCCAGTATCTCCACAATTAATGAGGAGTGAACATGTGAGTTCTGACTGTCTAATGTCTTGATTTCCCACAATAGAGGCAAAGTCAAAATGTGAAGGGATGGGGACCTAGATAATAATTTCACCTGCTTTAGGATTTCCCCTACTACTAACCTGAAGAAATATGGAAGATGTAGTTTAATGTCACTGTATGTACTCTAGTATGAAGAAAAGCCATTCTTTATTCACATTTTTGAAGGCCACATTTAGGTCATAAATCTCTTTAAAAATGTGATTTTTATTTTGTTTTCCCATTACTTTCCTATTGAAATGGGCTATCTCATGTTCATGCACTTGGAGTTCCAAGCAGGTTTTTGCCCAACATCTATTCTGGAGAGGATTTCACCCTTGAGTGAGTTTAGACTGGATGACACTGGAGGAGCTGTCTTCACTCAAAAATCTTATAGTTCCCTACCTTCCATAGCTTTCTATCAATGACTGTTTATTTGTTATTCTAGGCACTCTTTCTGCACTAGAATATTTATACGGACTCCCCACATTGCTAGGGCAGGAAACAGACTTGCCCCAGCTTTTCTTATTAAAGGCATATTATGTACACAATTAAACTCAACAGGTGAGAAATACAAGACCACAGCTAAGAGTGTTGGCCTGTTGCCTAGGCTCCTTAAAAAAGCTGTATCAAGAAGAGTTTATTAGGGAAGACTAGGAATCTCCTAGGAACCACCATTTGTAATAGCACCCTCCCCCCTTTTATTGGCCTTTTGAGAAAATCTGAGTGGTCAAAACAGTTACTTTGTAAGTCTCAGCTCCCTCCCCTAATACTCGTGTTAATTAAGTGAAGTTTCCAAATGAAGGCTAAGATTTTGATTCTTCTAGACATTCTCAGAACATCTTAATATATTGCACTTGAGAAATTACTATGAATTCCTAAAGGTTCAGATAGTGGATAGGGTATAGATTTTGTAGTCAGATATATGCAATTTCAGATCTTAGTGTTGCCACTTACCCTTCTAGGGCCACTTCCTTTTTATCTCAACCCTCTGAACTGTAAAATTAGGATAATGGTGTTTACTTTCCAGGATTATTGTAAAGATTGAGCACATTTAAGATTCTGATTGCAGGCCAGGCGCAGTGGCTCACACCTGTAACCGAGCACTTTGGGAGGCCGAGGCAGGTGGACCACAAGGTCAGGAGTTCGAGACCAGCCTGGCCAACATGGTGAAACCCTGTCTCCACTAAAAGTATAAAAAAATTAGCGGGGCGTGGTGGTGCGTGCCTATAAGCCCAGCTACTCCGGAGGCTGAGGTAGGAGAATCACTTGAACCCAGGAGGCAGAAGTTACAGTGGGCCGAGATCATGCCATTGCACTCCAGTCTGGGCAACAGAGCAAGACTCCATCTCGAAAAAAAATAATAAGATTCTGATTACAATCTCTGATACATAATAGACAGTCACAGGTTTCCCTCTCTTGTCCTGCTATACTCAACGATATTACCACATACTTGGAGAGACAAACTTTAGTCACTTGGAAATTTCAATACAAACGGAGGACCATAAAGGAGTTGAAGAGTAGTGCTGCCAACTACAAGTACTACATGATAAATTCTTGTACATTATCATCATCATCGTTGTCATCATGGTTAGTTTAGCAGGTGCTACCTCACCTGTATCCCTTAGGGCTTTATCATTTCATTGCTTACCAGCTTGTCTTCCAAATGTGAGTGTGCATCTCTTTTGCTGCAACTTTCTCCTGCCTTTGGAGCCCACTCTGCTTACCGACCTGGCAAGTTAGACATGCAGGGGATTAATGTCTTCAGCAGCATCCCTCAACCAATCATTGACAAGAATTGATGGGCAAGTTGTTCTCAAATTTGAGCGAGCATCAAAATCACCTGAAGAGGCCTTGTTAAATCACCACTGCTGGTTCCACCCCCAGAGCTTCTAATTTAGTAGCTCTGGGGTGGGCTTGAGAATTTGCATTTCTAGTAAGTTTCCAAGCAATGCCGATCCTGCTGGTCCAAATACAGCACTTTGAGAACCAGTGGGATACCATCTTTTCTCAGGTAGTGCATGTTCTACACTGGCAGCATTAATGTGTTAGGGCTGCCATAACAAAATACTGCACACTGGGTGGCTTAAACAACAGAAATTATTTTCTCACAGTTCTGGAGACTAGAAGTCCAAGATCAAGGTGTTGGCAGGTTAAATTTCTCCAGAGACCACACTCCTCTCTCCTTGGCTTGCAGGTGTCCTCCTTCTTGCTGTGTCCTTACATGGACTTTTATCTGTGTAGGCATATCCCTGGTATTTCTCATGTGTGTCCAAATTTCCTCTTTCTGTAAAGACATGAGTCAGATTGGATTGCAGCCCACCCTTATGATCTCATTTAATGTTAATTACCTCTGTAAAGGCCCTGTCTTCAAATATAGTCACATTGGAATTTAGGCTTCCACATCTGAATTTTGGTGGGATACAAGTCGGTTCATAACACTGGCTTTTAGAATTCTTCAGGCAATTAAGCTCCAGAGATGCACAGTGATAACTTGTCTAATAGTGCATCCTTGGTCTGTTTTCGCTTCTTTGCCTCAGTTGTTTCCCGGAATTATGTTCTAAATAAACCACATGTGCTTAATTCCTTGTCTCAGGGCAAGCTTCTGTGACATCCTAAACTAAAACAATCAGTGTTCATCTATCAAATCCTTACTTTAAAAAATTACATAATACTTAAATCTGTATAGATAATGCCTAGACTTAGATGTCAAGAGATAAATTACAATTTCAACTTTGTTGCTCACTCATTGTGTAATCTTTGAACACTAAGTGAATCTCTCTAAGCTTCAATTTTATCAAATAGTAAATGCACATATTAATTTCAGCCTTGACTAACTTCTATAGGTAGCATGAAGACATGTATCACTTACAATTCTTTGGTCGTAAGTAACAGAAAGCTGTTTTAGCTAGCTTAAGCAACAGAAGGGTCTTTATTAGAAGGTTATCAGGTAACTTGCAGAATTAGAAACTGGTAGGAACAATAATGTTCTATATAAGCAGACACTACTTGACTCTCTCACTTGGAAATAGTGCTGATGTAGCAGAGGGTCATGAGAAGGCAATATCAGGACTATAAACCCACAAAGAACATCAACCAAGGGTGTCAATAAATTTAATATGTTCCAGATACAGTGTGCTGACTGTACTATTGAGTTAGATACCATTTAATTCGATAAGATCTATCATCAATCAGGCTAGGGGGACTTTCACTTTTGCATGTATACTTCAGATTTGGGGGAGCTCAATTTCAAGCAATCTTCTGACATTTGTGTCCACTTAACGAAAAAAACCAGGAGTAGAAATGCACCATGCAGATGATAGCTGTTAAATATTGTTCACCACTATCTTATGTATCACGGGACCCATGTACTTGAAGAAAAGTAAAATCTTATTTTTTAATGATACATGTGTCACATCTGATCATGACGCAATCTGTCAAAACATAAATTTTATATTTATTGCAACCCTAATGAGTGACTTCTAAACTTGTCCTCATGCTGGGTGACACCATGTTCAAGATTTATAGTCTTAGAATAGATTCTGATTGGAAAAGCTTGAGTCACATGACTTTGGCTGTGCAAAGGCATCAAAAGGAAGGATCTGAAGTGATAAATCTCCTGTGACATTTTGGTCTCTGCACTAGAAAGGCAGAGTAACTTCATGTATAGTCACCAAGACATCACACGACAGGCAAAAAGTAACTTCTTATACCCACCACGCCCCCACCCAACACACACACACACACACACACACACACACACACACACACACACACACACACACACACCCTGCAATTAGAAATTAGAAAGAGGGATGCAATTAGAAAGAGGGACTTGGTGTTTGGTGCTGCATAGCTCCCAAATGACCAGTCTTCATTATAGAATCAAATGAGGAAACGAAAAGCACTTGTGCTTTTAAAAGCATATAGTCCTATATTAGTATGGGAAGGTTATTGTTGTCCTCCTGCTAGTGCATATACAATACTTATTATTTATTTTTAAAGACAGGGTCTCACTCTGCCACCCAGGCTACAGTACAGTGGCATGATCATAGCTCACTGCAACCTTGAACTCCTGGGCTCAAGTGATCTTCTCCTCTCAGCCTTCTGAGTTGCTCAGACTACAGCCGTGCATTTCCATGATCATCTAATTTTTACAGTTTTGGTAGAGATAAGGAGGTCTCACTCTCTTGCACCTGTTCATCTCAAACCTCTAGTTTCAAGTGATGCTCCTGCCTCAGCCTCCTAAAATGCTAGGATTACAGGTGTGAGCCACCAGGCCCAGCTTACAGTAATTACTAATTATTGAATCGAAGAGTCTTAACGAAAAAGTCTAAGCAGGGAAACTGAAAAAAAAAGTGTTGAATTGGTGGCCGGATTAACTTTCCTGGTAATGAGGTCATCCAGAGAATTGCTTCCACATGCTATAACCCTCTGAAAAAGACTATGAAGGAATGCGGGTATTACCTATTAGGTAATATCCTCTTTGATATTTTCTAGAGAGCTTGGCTTGGTGACTATGATATTTAACTTTGTTAGGAGTGGGGCATGTTGTGTTCTATCTCTCCTTTAGTTATAACCTTGTGGTGGGACATAGGCAAGTTCCTTCCACTTCCTAAACCTCTGCTTCCCCATCTCTAAATAGAGGGTTGGATTAGATCTTTGTAGCTTGAATCTCATATCTCACAATTGAAAGCTGAGTGAGCAATAAACAGACTCATTGCAGAGTCAAGGAGCCAATATGCTAGAATGGGTTCCCATAAAGCTGAGGCCTGGGCTGGGTAGACAGTAGATCAAAAAGAAAGAGAGAAAGAACGGCAGGTAGCCACCACTGTAAAAAACACCATGGACTTTCATGGGTAATACCCTGGCTTTGAGAATCAAATTTTGCCCCCACCCACAAAAGCCCATTCAATATTTCCATCAAGATGTAATTGTCCAAGCCTGTACCATATATTGATCCTGAACACATTAGACTAGAAAAAACAAACTTAAAATGAAGCACAAGGGGAGGTGAAACTCTGGCTCTATCTTCACCACTTGCTTAAGTATAATTTTTGCAGTACTATCATTTGTGTCAGGAAACTGCAGAAACAATGTTGTCTTCATAAAAATGTGTGTGGGTGAGGGAGGTGGGGAATTATTTATCAGATGCTAGCCTTTTTAAACACTGTATTGATGATTTGTCTAAGACTCATGTTTCCATGACACTGAATCAGACAAAGGTAATAATGGCAATGGCAGCTTGTGAAGACTTGCAGTCTGAAGGACAGTGACAATATTTAGAAAATGTTTCTCAAGAGAGAACTGTGGTTATGGCCTGATAAGATTCAGAAAGTGCAAATGATAGGACCCCAAGAGGAAACCCAAAATAGTTGGGAAAATCTCTCTCTCTCTCTTTCTCTTTCTTTCCCCATCAGAAGAGCTTCCCAGAGGTAGAAAACAGGACTCAGAGCTCATAGAGGAAGACAGACTTGAGCAGGTCCATTCATGCATTCACCTGCATTAGGGCAGGACCACTCAAAAACTTTTCACTGGATATCACTTTTAAAAACTAAATTCAGACTTCTATATCTTACCAAGATGAAGCAAGAGGAGCTATATGCAGTCACCTGCATGAAACTACCAAATACAAGAATACAAGGAAACAAATAAACAAAATACATACGAAAGAATGGTTTTAAGACTTGAACATCAGGTGGTGAGAAAATAAATAAACAAATAAACCATATGATTGCCCTAGGTTACTTTACTGAGGAACTTTCAGGCACTGGCACAGGAACAGGGAACTGAAATGGAGCCTGGCCAACTTTCTTTCCTTTTAAAACAATTCTTTAGTTAATTAATTAATTAATTATTTGCATGAATACATTCTCTAGTGATGATTTCTGAGATTGTGGTGCACCCATCACCTAAGCAGTGTATGCTGTATCCAATGTGTAGTCTTTTATCCCTCATCCCCTTCCACTCTTTCCCTGAGTCCTCAAAGTCCATTGTATCATTCTTATGCCTTTGCAACCTCATAGATTAGCTCCCACTTATGAGTGAGAACAAATGATGTTTGGTTTTCCATTCCCAAGTTACTTCACTTAGAATAATGGTCTCCAATTCCATCCAGGTTGCTGTGAATGCCATTATTTTGTTCCATTTTATGGCTGAATAGTATTCCATGGTGTATACACAACACCACGTTTTCTTTATCTATTCATTGATTGATGGGCATTTGGGCTGGTTCCATATTTTTGCAATTGCAATTGTGCTGCTATGAATATGCATGTGCAAGTGTCTTTTTCATATGGCTTCTTTTCCTCTGAGTAGATACTTAGGAGTGAGATTGCTGGATCAAATGTTAGATCTACTTTTAGTTATTTAAGGAATCTCCACACTGTTTTCTATAGTGGTTGTCCTAGTTTACATTCCCACCAACAGTGTAAAAGTGTTCCCTTTTCACCACATCCATGCCAACATCTATTATTTTTTATTTTTTTGAGTATGGTCATTCTTGCAGGAGTAACGTGGTATTACATTGTGGTTTTGATATGCATTTCCCTGATAATCAGTGATGTTGAGCTTTTTTTTTTTAAAAAGTGTGTTTGTTGATGGCCGACATTCTGAATTGAGGAGACAGAACTGAGAAGAATTCGGGAAACAAAACAATCAGAGTTCATAGGGCTATGAGAATGGAGAGAACTGCACAGAGAGATCTACAGAGGACCCCCTTGAATGTTTAGCAGATAATTAAGGAGGAAAGGGAGAGAGGGAGAGAGAGACAAACAAGAACTACTTATGGCTACAGAGGAAACCTCTAAAGGAATTAGTGGAAACATTAACTGACTATCACACTGGCCTTGGGATAGATCTGGTTCCTACAAGTCAGAAAGGAAAACTTCATTCATGGGGCACTGGGTTGAATACTAAGGAAGACTTTGCCTCCTTAGTGGAGAATAATTAGTCCTGTTCAAGGTATATACAACATAAGGTTTTTTGCTTGCTTGTTCGTTTGTTTGTTTTTTGAGATGGAGTCTCCCTCTGTCACCAGGCTGGAGTATAGCGGTGTGATCTCGGCTCACTGCAACCTCCACCTCCTGGGTTCAAGCGATTCTTCTGCCTCAGCCTCCCAAGTAGCTGGGACTACAGGTGCATGCCACCACACCCAGCTAATTTTTGTATTTTTAGTAGAGACAGGGCTTCACCATATTGGCCAGGATGGTCTCGATCTCTTGACCTAGTGATCCACCCACCTCAGCCTCCCAAAGTGCTGGGATTACAGGGGTGAGCCACCGTGCCTGGCCAACTCGAGGTTTTTATATATGTATGGATTGTGAAATTATTACCGAGTCAAGCTAATTATTATGTCTATCACTTCATATAGTTATCGTGTGTGAGAGTGTGTGTGTATGTGTGTGTTCAGAATACTTAAGATCTACTTTCTTAGGAAATATCAAGTACACAATATATTATCATTAACTAATTAGGTCTCCAGAACTTATTCATCTTTAACTAAAATTCTATATCCTTTGGCTAACATATCTCCTTTCCCCCAATCCCCATCCTCTGGTGACTACTATTCTACTTTTTGTTTCTACAAGTCATATTTTTTAAGATTGTACATATAAGTGAGATTATGCAGTATTTCTCTTTGTGTCAGGTTTATTTTACCTAGCATAACGTCCTCCAAGTTTTATGTTGTCATAAAATGGTAGTATTGCCTTCTTTTATAATGCTGAATAATATTTCATTGTGTGGTGAAATAATATTTATACATGAAATATAATATCCCAATATCCCATATATGTATATGTATGTGTACTACATTTTCTTTATCCATTCATCTGTCAATGGATACTTAGGTTTTTTCCATATCTTGGCTGCTGTAAATGATACAGCAATAAACATGGGAGTATAGATTACTGGCTTCATTTTCTTTGGATGTATATCCAGAAGTGGCATTGATTGATCATATTGTAGTTTTATTTTTAACTTTTTGAGGAATCTTCATATTATTTTCCAAAATGGCAGTACCAATTTACATTCCCACCAATGTTCAAGGGTTCTCTTTTTTCCACATTCTTACTAACACTTGTTATCTTTTGACATTTGGTAATAGCCACCCTAACAGATATGAGGAGAGATCTCATAACAGGCTTGATTTGCCCTTCCTTCATGGTTAGTGGTGTTGAGCACCTTTTCATACACCTGTTGGCCATTGTATGTCTTATTTGGAAAAATATCTATTTAGGTTCTTTACCCTTTAAAAAATTGTGTTATTTATTTATTTATTTATTTGCTATTAAATTGTAGGTGTTCCTTATACATTTTGAATATTAGTCCCTTACTGAATGTATGGTTTACAAATATTTTCTCCCATTGTGTGGGTTGTCCTTTCATCTTGTTGATTGTTTCCTTAGCTGTGCAGAAGCTTTTTGAGTTTGGTGTAGCTATAGTCATTTATTTTTTTTCTCTTTTTGCCTGTCCAATTTCTTTCTTTTCTCTTCTTTTTTTATTTTTTTATTTTTTGCATGTAAATATCCAGCTTCCCAACACCATGTACTGAAAAGATGAAGTTTTCCGTCTTATGTATCATTGGCATCTTTGTCAGGTTGGTTGACCATATATGCATAGGTTTATTTCATGGATTTCTATTCCGTTCCATTGGTCTATGTGTCTTTTGTTATGCCAATGTCATACTATTTTCATTAGTATAGTTTTGTAAAATAAAACCAGAAAGTCTAATGCCACTTACTTATGTATTTTTGCTCAAGATAGTTGTAGCTATTTGGGGTCTTTTGTGCTTTCATATGAATTGTAGAATTGTTTTTCTATTTCTGTGGAAAATACTATTGACATTTTAATAGAAGTTTTATTGAACATGTAGCTAGCACTAGGTAGCATGGACACCTTGACAATATATTTTTTCCAATCCTTGAACACAGGGTATTTTCATATTTATTTGTGTCTTCAGTTTCTGTTATTAATGTTTTACAGTTTTAATTGAACAGATATTCACCTCCTAGGTTATATTTATTCCTAAAATATTTATTCTTTTCAATACTACTGTAAAAAGTTTTTTTAACATTAATTTTTATGGCCAGGCCCAGTGGTTCACACCTGTAATCCTAGCACTTTAGGAGGCCAAGACAGGTGGATCACTTGAGACCAGGGGTTTGAGACCAGCCTGGACAACATGGCAAAACTTTGTCTCTACTAAAAATACAAAAAAAAATTAGCTGGGTGCAGTGTCTCAAGCATGTAATCTCAGCTACTCGGGAAGCTGAGGTGGGAGAATTGCTTGAACCCAGGAGGTGGAGGTTGCAGTGAGCTGAGGTTGCACAACTACACTCTAGCCTAGGCAACAGAGCGAGATACTGCCTCAAAAATAAATAAATAAATAAATAAATACATAAATAAATAAATAAAATTTAAAAAATAAATTTTACAGATGTTTGTTGTTACTTTATACAAAAAAAGTCTGATTTTTGTATAGAGATTCTCTATCCTGCAAATTTACTGAATTCATTTTTTAATTCTAATAGTTTTTTGGGTGGAATCTTTAAGATTTTTTCTATGTAAGATCATATCATATACAAAGAGAGACAATTTTATTTTTTTCTTTCTGATCTGGGTGTCTTTTATTTCCTTCTCTTGCCTAATTGTTCTGGCTAGAACTTCCAGTACTATGTTGAATAGAAGTGGTAAAAGTGGGAATTTTTGTCTTGCTCTGGATCTTAGAGAAAAAGCATTCAGCCTTTCATCATTGTATATGATGTTAGCCAAGGGATTGTCATATATTCTTTATTGTGTTGAAGTACATCCTTTCTAAACCTAATTTATTGAGAGTTTTTATCATGAAAGGATATTGAATTTTGTCAAATGCTTTTTCTGCATTTATTTAGATGATTCCATGATTTATATCTTTCATTTTGTTAATGTCAAGTATCACATTCATTGATGTGCATATATTGAACCATCCTTGCATCCCAGGGATAAATCTCACTTAATTATGGTGTGTGATCTTTTCAATGTGTTGTTGAACTCAGTTTGCTAATATTTTGTTGAGTGTTTTTGCCTGGATATTTATCAGAGATATTGGCCTGTTTTCTTTTTTCGTACTGACTTTTCCTGACTTTCATGTCAAGGTAATGTTAGTCTCATGAGTTTGGAAGCCTTCCTTCCTGAGACTGAGAAGGATTGCTATGAAATTAAAAAAAAAAAGTTTAGTAAAATTCAGCAGTGAAGCCATCAGGTTCTGGGCTTTTCTTTCTTGAGAGGTTTTTAATAACTGATTCAATCTCCCTATTTGTTATTGGTTTGCTTAGATTTTGCATTTCTTCATGATTCAGTCTTGGTGTATTGAAAGTGTTCAGGAATTCATCCATTTGTCTAAGGTAATCAAACTTTTTGGTGCATAATTGTTCATAGTAGTCTCTTATGGTTTTTCGCATTTCTGTGGTATCTGATGTAATATCTCCTCTTTTATTTCTAATTTTATTTTGGTCATCTTTCTGTATATCTTAGTCTAGCTAAAAGTTTATTGATTTTGACATAGACCAATGAAACAGGTTAGATAAACCAGAAATAAAGCTGCACACCTACAATCATATGATCTTCAACAAAATCCACAAAAACAAGCAATGGAGAAAGGACACCCTGTTTAATAATTAGTACTGTGATTACTGGCTAGCCACATGCAGAAGATTGAAACTGAACCTCTTTCTCTCACCATATACAAAAATCTATTCAAGGGATTAAAGATTTAAATATAAAACCTAATGCTAAAAAACCCTAGAAGAAGACTTAGTAACACCATTCTAGACATTAGCTTTTGCAAACATTTCATGTTGAAGACCTCCAAAGCAACTGCAACAACAACAAAAATTTGACAAGTCAGACCTAATTAAACTAAAGAGCCTCTACACAGAAAAGGAAATTATCAACAGAGTAAACAAACAATCTACAAAATGGAAGAAAATATTTGAAAACTATGCATCTGACAAAGGTTTAATATCTAGGATCTATAAGAAACCTTAACAAGTCAACAAGAAAAAAACACCATTAAAAATGGGCAAAGGACATGAACAGACATTTCTCAAAACATTCTGACATCCAACACAAATGAAAAAATGCTCCACATCATTAGTCAGTCATTATAGAAATGTAAATCAAAACCATGATGAGATACCGTCTCAAGCCTGTCAGAATAACTATTATTAAAAAGTGAAGAAACAACAGACCCTGGTAATGGTTTAGAGAAAAGAAAATGCTTACACACTGTTGGTGGGAATGTAAATTAGTTCAGCCTCTATGGAAAGCAGTTCAGAGATTTCTCAAAGAACTTAAAACAGAACTACCATTTGACCCAGCAATCCCATTATTGGGTATACACCCAAAGAAATATAAATTGTTCTATCATAAAGACACAGGCATGCGTATGCTCATCACTGTAGCACTATTCACAATAGCAAAGGCATGGAATCAACCTACATGCCCATCAGCAGTGGACTGGATAAAGAAAATGTGGTACATATACACTATGGAATACTATGCAGCCATAAAAAAGAATTATATAATGTCCTTTGCAGCAACATGGATGGAGCTGGAGGCCATTATCCTAAGTGAATTAACATAGGAGCACAAAACCAAATACTGCATCTTCTCACTTACAAGTGGGAGCTAAACATTGAGTATACACGGGCACAAAGTGGTGAACAATAGATACTGGGGCCTACCTGAGGGTGGAGGGTAGGAGGAGGGTGAGAATTGAAAAATTACCTATCGGATACTGTACTCATTACCTAAGTGACAAAATAATCTGTACACCAAACCCCCATAGCATGCCATTTACCCATGTAACAAACCTGCACGTATACCCCAAACCTAAAATAGAAAAAAAAAATTATTGAATTTGCTTATCCTTTGAAAATTCCAACTATGAGTTTAATTGGTCTTTTTATTTTTCTATATTTCATTTATTTTTGTCCTTCTTTATTTTCATCCTTCTGTGGACTTTGAGCTTAGTTTGTTCTTTGGTTGTTTATTTGAGATCTTTCTTTTTACTTAATGTATAACTTCTGCTTTAGAATTGGTTTTGCTTCATCCTATAAGTTTTGGTATATTGTGTTTCCATTTTTGTTTAAAAGTATTTTTTTTTTTCCAATTTTCTTAGAGATTTCTCCTTTGACCCATCTGTCGTTCAGGAATATGGTGTTTAATTTCTATATATTTGTAAAGTTTTTAGTTTTTCTCCTATTATTGATTTCTAGTTTCATGCCATTGTGTCCAGAAAAGATATTTGATATTATTTTAATATTCTTAATTTTGTTAAGTTTTTTTTGTGGCCTAACATATGACCTATTTTGTAAAATGTTCTATGTGCACTTGAGAAAATGTATATTCTCAGTTGCTGTGAGATGGGATGTTCTGTATATATCTGTGAGGTCCATTGGGTATAAAACATAGTTCAAATTTAATGGTTTTTATTGATTTTTTTCTGGATGATATATCTGTTTTTAAGAGTAGGTTATTAAATCCCCCATTACTATTATATTGCTGCTACTGGGACCATTGAATTTCTCAGTGGCAAAGGCTGCCAGAGTCATCTGCCAAGCAGGCCACTGGGGACCACAGTTGTACCTGCTGCATGGCTGATACTGGTAACTGCCACCCTTCTTTGTTTTTAGTTATATCTATATGTCTGTGGTACACCAATCACCCCAAAAATCCTTTTTGTGCGGTTATTTTCCCTCCACTGTGTTGCTGTAGGTTCTGAACTGGACTCTAGAGACTGCCCAAGTCTACTTTTGCATATGGATAGCTGAATAATTTTTGTCTTTTGTGGGTGGATAAAGGTTGGTATCTACTACTCTGCCATCTGGATGTTGTTACTCTCTAAACTGATAAATTAAAAATGTAGATGATAAACCCTAAAGCAACAAATAAATAATTAAACAATAAAAGATAGCTATAGGTATAGCTAAACAAAAAGTATAGTCAATAAGGGACATGCAATAAAATAATACCTACTCAATTCTAGAAAAAAAGGAGAAAAAGAGGAAAAGAAACAAAAGAGCTAATGGGATTACTAGAAAACAAATAGTAAGACAATAGATTTAACCTAACCACATCAATAATCATATTAAATAGAAATGTACTAAACACTCCTATTAAATACTAGAGATTGTCCAATTGGATAATAAAAATGTAACATCCAAATATATGCTACCCATAAGAAACACACTTTAGATATAAAGACACATTTGGTCAAAAGTAAAAGGATGCAATAAGATATACCATGCTAATACTAATCTTTTCCAAAAGGAAGCTAGAATGGCTATAGTAATATCAAAGGAAATTTCAGAGCAAATAATATTTTCAAAGATAAAGAAAGTCATTTTATGGAGATAAACAGGTCAATTCATCAAGAATACATAGCAATCGTGAAAATTTATATACCAATAACAGAGTTTCAAAGCTGATAAAGCAAAAACTGATAATTTCAAGACAAATAGATAAATTTATAATTATAGTTGATGATTTTAATACCCTTTTCCAATAACTGAAAGATCAACAAGTCAGAAAAATTAGTCAAGATGTAAAAGTCTGAACAACACTCTCAAACAGCTTGACCTAATTGACATTTACAGAACATTCTACTCAACATCAGCCAAATATAATTATGTTCAAGTATTTATTGAGGTTGAATTTATTTTGGGCATAAAACAAGTCTCAATAAATTTAAAAGAATTCCATTTATTCAAATTTTTTTTTTATCAAATTGTGCTTTAAAATGAACTTATCAGTTGACCTAGGAAATCTACCTCTCTGAATTTATCCTAAGATAATGGAACATTGTCCAACACATATATACTGTGTTACTTTGCCATATCACCCTTTAAAGGCACTCATTTTCCCTTATGTTAATAGTGTTTCCTTGGGAGAGTGTATGTGTCCAGGAATTTATCCATTTCTTCTAGATTTTCTAATTTATTTGCATAGAGGTGTTTATAGTATTCTCTGATGGCAGTTTGTATTTCTGTGGGATTGGTGGTGATACCCCTTTGTCATTTTTTATTGCGTCTATTTGATTCTTCTCTCTTTTCTTCTTTATTAGTCTTGCTAGTGGTCTATCAATTTTGTTGATCCTTTCAAAAAACCAGCTTCTGGATTCATTGATTTTTTTAAAGGGATTTTTGTGTCTCTATTTCCTTCAGTTCTGCTCTGATTTTAGTTATTTCTTGCCTTCTGCTAGCTTTTGAATGTGTTTGCTCTTGCTTCTCTAGTTCTTTTAATTGTGATGTTAGGGTGTCAATTTTAGATCTTTCCTGCTTTCTCGTGTGGGCATTTAGTCCTGTACATTTCCCTCTAGACACTACTTTGAATGTGTCCCAGAGATTCTGGTATGTTGTGTCTTTGTTCTCGTTGGTTTCAAAGAACATCTTTATTTCTGCCTTCATTTCGTGATGTTCCCAGTAGTCATTCAGGAGCAGGTTGTTCAGTTTCCATGTATTTGAGTGGTTTTGAGTGAGTTTCTTAATCCTGAGTTCTAGTTTGATTGCACTATGGTCTGAGAGACGGTTTGTTATAAGTTCTGTTCTTTTACATTTGCTGAGGAGTGCTTTACTTCCAACTATGTGGTCAGTTTTGGAATAGGTGTGGTGTGGTGCTGAAAAGAATGTATATTCTGTTGATTTGGGGTGGAGAGTTCTGTAGATGTCTATTAGGTCCGTTTGGTGCAGAGCTGAGTTCAATTCCTGGATGTCTTTGTTAACTTTCTGTCTCGTTGATCTGTCTAATGTTGACAGTGGAGTGTTAAAGTCTCCCATTATTATTGTGTGGGAGTCTGTCTTTGTAGGTCACTAAGGACTTGCTTTATGAATCTGGGTGCTCCTGTATTGGGTGCATATATATTTAGGTTAGTTAGTTCTTCTTGTTGAGTTGATCCGTTTACCATTATGTAATGGCCTTCTTTGTCTCTTTTGATCTTTATTGGTTTAAAGTCTGTTTTATCCTCGACACATACACTCTCCCAAGACAAAACCAGGAAGTTGAATCTCTGAATAGACCAATAACAGGCTCTGAAATGGAGGCAATAATTAATAGCTTACCAACCAAAAAAAGTCCAGGACCAGATGGATTCACAGCTGACTTCTACCAGGGGTACAAGGAGGAGCTGGTACCATTCCTTCTGAAATTATTCCAATCAATAGAAAAAGAGGGAATCCTCCCTAACTCATTTTATGAGGCCAGCATCATCCTGATACCAAAGCCGGGCAGAGACACAACAAAAAAAGAGAATTTTAGACCAACATCCTTGATGAACACTGATGCAAAAACCCTCAATAAAATACTGGCAAACTGAATCCAGCAACATATCAAAAGGCTTATCCACCATGATCAAGTGGGCTTCATCCCTGGGATGCAAGGCTGGTTCAACATATGAAAATCAATAAATGTAATCCAGCATATAAACAGAACCAACGACAAAAACCACATGATTATCTCAATAGATGCAGAAAAGGCCTTTGACAAAATTCAACAGCCCTTCATGCTACAAACTCTCAATAAATTAAGTATTGATGGGACATATCTCAAAATAATAAGAGCTATCTATGACAAACCCACAGCCAATATCATACTGAATGGACAAAAGCTGGAAACATTCCCTTTGAAAACTGAAACAAGACAGGGATGCCCTCTCTCACCACTCCTATTCAACATAGTGTTGGAAGTTCTGGCCAGGGCAATTAAGCAAGAGAAGGAAATAAAGGGCATTCAATTAGGAAAAGAGGAAGTCAAATTGTCCCTGTTTGCAGATGACATGATTGTATATCTAGAAAACCCCATCATCTCAGCCCAAAATCTCCTTAAGCTGATAAGCAACTTCAGCAAAGTATCAGGATACAAAATCAATGTGCAAAAATCACAAGCATTCTTATACACCAATAACAGACAAACGGAGAGCCAAATCATGAGTGAACTCCCATTCACAATTGCTTCAAAGAGAATAAAATACCTAGGAATCCAACTTACAAAGGATGTGAAGGACCTCTTCAAGGAGAACTACAAACCACTGCTCAATGAAATAAAAGAGGATACAAAGAAATGGAAGAACATTCCATGCTCATGGGTAGGAAGGATCAATATCGTGAACATGGCCATACTGCCCAAGGTAATTTACAGATTCAATGCCATCCCCATCAAGCTACCAATGCCTTTCTTCACAGAATTGGAAAAAACTACTTTAACGTTCATATGGAACGGAAAATGAGCCCGCATCGCCAAGTCAATCCTAAGCCAAAAGAACAAAGCTGGAGGCATCATGCTACCTGACTTCAAACTATACTACAAGGCTACAGTAACCAAAACAGCATGGTACTGATACCAAAACAGAGATATAGACAAATGGAATAGAACAGAGCCCTTAGAAATAATGCCGCATTTCTACAACTATCTGATCTTTGACAAACCTGACAAAAACAAGAAATGGGGAAAGGATTCACTATTTAATAAATGGTGCTGGGAAAACTGGCTAGCCACATGTAGAAAGCTGAAACTGGATCTCTTCCTTACACCTTATACAAAAATTGATTGAAGATGGATTAAAGACTTACATGTTAGACCTAAAACCATAAAAACCCTAGAAGAAAACCTAGGCAATACCATTCAGGACATAGGCATGGGCAAGGACTTCATGTCTAAAACACCAAAAGCAATGGCAACAAAAGCCAAAATTGACAAATGGGATCTAATTAAACTAAAGAGCTTCTGCACAGCAAAAGAAACTACCATCAGAGTGAACAGGAAACCTACAGAATGGGAGAAAATTTTCACAACCTACTCATCTGACAAAGGGCTAATATCCAGAATCTACAATGAACTCAAACAAATTTACAAGAAAAAAACACAACCCCATCAAAAAGTGGGAGAAGGATATCAACAGACACTTCTCAAAAGAAGACATTTATGCAGCCAACAGACACGTGAAAAAATGCTCATCATCACTGGCCATCAGAGAAATGCAAATCAAAACCACAATGAGATATTGTCTCACACCAGTTAGAATGGTGATCATTAAAAAGTCAGGAAACAACAGGTGCTGGAGAGGATGTGGAGAAATAGGAACACTTTTACACTGTTGGTGGAACTGTAAACTAGTTCAACCATTGTGGAAGGCAGTGTGGCAATTCCTCAGGGATCTAGAACTAGAAATACCAATTGACCCAGCCATCCCATTACTGGGTATATACCCAAAGGATTATAAATCATGCTGCTATAAAGACACATGAACATGTATGTTTATTGCGGCACCATTCACAATAGCAAAGACTTGGAACCAACCCAAATGCCCAACAATGATAGACTGGATTAAGAAAACGTGGCACACATACACCATGCAATACTATGCAGTCATAAAAAAGGATGAGTTCATGTCCTTTGTAGGGACATGGATGAAGCTGGAAACCATCATTCTCAGCAAACTATCGCAAGAACAAAAAACCAAACACCGCATGTTCTCACTCATACGTGGGAATTGAACAATGAGAATACATGGACACAGGAAGGGGAACATCGCACTCTGGGGACTGTTGTGGGGTGGGGGGAGGGGGGAGGGATAGCATTAGGAGATATACCTAATGTTAAATGACGAGTTAATGGGTGCAGCACACCAACATGGCACATGTATACATATGTAACAAACCTGCACGTTGTGCACATGTACCCTAAAACTTAAAGTATAAAAATTTTTTTAAAAAATAGTGTTTCCTGCTAGCGAATTATGCTGTGCTCTTCCCCAGGAACTGCCCTCAACAAACGTGAGCTGCTTCACCCAAGTTATGTTCTTCCCCCAGGGGTATCCCATACCCAGTGACTAGTGCGTGGAGGAATACATACTCTTGGCCATCCAAGGTTCATAGGTTTTTGCAATTGGCTGAAGCCTCTGTAGTGACTGCATTAAGTTCCTCACTTCCTTACAGGTATTATTCCCAAGAGTACTCTCAATAAACCATCTGAATAAAAATCTCTCTTGGTTTTTCTCCCAGAAATAGAACCCAAGACAAATATGCAAAGATCTACATACACAAGTTTTTATTGCAATATTGTTTACAATTGCACTAAATTGAAAGCAACCTAAACCCATTAATGATTAACTAATTAAATAAAATGTTATGCAACATTTACGAGATGACAGTGATGGACTTTTTGAAATTAAAATGGTTGAAACAAAAATACCAGATAAGGAAGACAGAAAAATGAAAAAAAAAATGTAAACATGTAAACAAGGATCATAGTCATAGTGAGAAAGACATGCCCCTGCACCCCCACCCTAGTTAGAGGGCTGATACTACAAATTCCAGAGCCAGGTAGAGAGATATGGGTCTATTTTTTTTTATCAAGGTCCTAACAGTATTAGAAATATATCTGGAAAAAAGATAATGTGAGCAGTGGAGGGAATGGTGGACTTGAAGTATCTGGTTGAAACTGGGGCTACCACTGCAAGTTCTGGTAGGGGTGGAGTAAGAGTGGAGCTTGAACAGGATCAGTATGGGGGTAGCCGAGGGACTCCAAAGCTGGAGGAAGGCTAGGGCTGAAACTGAGAATAAGGAAACGTGGTGCTGAAAAGATAGGAGCAGCGGGATGGTAGGGAGGGTCTAAGTAGAAGTTCTAGTTCAGTGGGAGCATTGGGAAGTGAAGAGAAAGGGGGCTAAGAAAGTTACAGAATGAGAGATGAGTAGAGGTTGAGAAGGGTGCTGTCCCCTCACATTATAAACCAATAGACCAAGAGAGAAGAAAAAACTATGAGAAGTGACCTTAAAAAAACTTCTCTCAATTCTACATTCTAGTTTAAATGAGTTTCCAAAATGCAAAATGTTCTCAACAGCAAGAGCTGGTATAGAGCTCCTGTTCTGTCTGTAAGTGATTGCATTTCTAAAGTAGTCCACACCTATATCTACCATCCCACATGTTCTTAAAATGTGGTCTTGAGATTTCTTCATCAAGAGTTGGAAACTATTCTCTCCTCTTAAATCTGGGTGGGCTTGTGGTGCGAATGAAAGTGATGTTGCATGACTTCTGAGGCTAGCCCATAAAGGGGATTAGAGGATCCACCTAGCTCATTCTCTTAGGATATGTACCTTGGGGGCACTGAGACTACAGGTAAGAAATATGAGTGTCCTGAAGCTTCCATGACAGAGTGATCATGTGGTGAGACTACATAATACTACACAGCAATAGAGAAGCCCCAAGTGTTACAGCCCCCAAAATCGTGACTCTTCTTAGCTTAGGCACCAGATATGAGAGTGAACAAGCTTTCAGTTCCTTCCACCTTCTAAAGTTTGAACTTTCCCAGCTGACTCCCAGAGCAGTCTCCAAGTCCAGCCCATAATAATGGTTTGGGGGTGAATAAATGTTGTTTTAAGCCACTAAGTTTTATGTTGGTTTGTTAAGTAACTGCAACACTATTGCACTTGTTTTTTGTTTGGGAAAACAGCTATAGAAAAGCTCAAGGATCTTTTGCGTGTGGGAGTGATAATCAGGATGATTGGATAGCCATTGTGACATCTCCTACTTACCATCAAGACCATGGAATAAAATATATTACAAGGTCAAAACATTGTATCTTAAGTGCTTTTCAAAGGCTATTGAAATCGGTGATTCAAACTGGCCCTATGAGGCAAAAATTAAACAGAACAGAAAGTAATCCTGTCAGGCACTGTGGGAGTAAAGAAATTACTTGACCTGTTCCTGGATGCAATGGCATGGTTTTAAAGATGTGTATTATTTTTAAAATCAATAAATCATTTAAAATAAGGCAAAGGTGGAGATGATTACACGAATTTCAGTATACTTGTAGCATATTGTGATCCCATGCCTTTTCTTTCTGTGGGATAATATTACCTAAAATAAATTCATTTGCTGTCACAAGGGATCATTTACAAAGCAACTCAAAACACTTTCAGGCAAAACATTAAAGTATAAAAAGCCATGTTATCTGACATTTCATTAATTAGAAATTTCTGAAAACCAAAACTTCTTATATTCCCCCAATTCAATTTTTCAAGCTAGGAATTTTTGCCAATTTTTAGGGTTTATGTGAATAATCAGATGAGTTTCTTAGAGTTAGAAGGAGACCTAATAAGAAATTGTTATGTATTATTCCTCTCACAGTTAGAGGGAAAATAAATTAATTTTGACCTCACAGGCCTTTTGCTACAAATTTTCACTTTTGCATACACTTAGCATAATTCAGAATGGAAATAACATGGGTTAATATTTAATAGACTATCAATTAAAATCCTGACATAGACAGAAGAATTATGAATTTTTTAGCTTGGACATAAACGATGGACCATGAGAACTCTCACTCTCTAAAAGACTGTTAAGTGAAAAAGGCAGTATATATGACCTGGTATGACTGAGTATACCACGAGGACAAAGAAAGGGATGCTGTAAGAAAGCTTATTTCAGATTAATAATAACTTCTCTAATGATTACATCTATTCAACCCAGAAATGTCCTCCCCATTGCTAGCTGTATTAAAGAAAAAGCTAATTAATGGCATGTCAAGACCAAGCAGAAATTAAACAAAAGCTGTGTCCCCCATTAGAATGTAAGGACCATCAGGTCAGGGATCATGAGCAACCATTCTGTCTTGTCAAAAATCTTAACTCCACTCCCTGGCACAATGTCAGGCCCATATTAGAGCCCTCGGTATACACTTTTGTATCAAAAAATAATCATATAATGCAGAGTTGTACTAAGTGACCCATTCTAAAGGGCAAATACTCTAATTCTATCTTTCCCTTCATGAATTCCTGAGGACAAGACTATTTGAGCAAATAATCCAACTCACTCAACCACATGCAAACAGCTGATGTGATACACAAGCTGACACAGCAGAAGTTATTCTTTGGATTCCAACTTGAGACATTTTTTTTTTTTTTTGCGTACATTTTGAAGCACCAATCTAGCTGTCCAAAATGCTTTTGTTCCAATAGAATAATGGTCAATTTTTAGTTCAACAGCTGTGTGCAATGCATATGTAAAAAGAATATTTTTTAAAATTTCTCCCCATTTCCATTTTTCTGTGCTACTCAGTTTTTCAGTGTTGATGCTATTAAAACCATAGTTGAAAGAAGTGAAAATGAAAAAGAAAGCAGCAAAGTGAATACTCACTAATCTTTCAGTGGATATTGATTGGATGTGAGAGCTTTTCTCTTAAGTGTTACTAAAAGAGTTGTCTCAATTCTAGATTGTGGATCAGTAAACCTTTAATGTAAAGACCCAGATAGTAAATATTTAGGAATTGTAGACCATATGGTTTATGCTGAAACTCCTCATTTTAGCACAGAAGCAGCCATTGACAATAATTTTAAAATTGAGCATGGCTTTATTTCAATAATATTTTATTTACAACAACAAGTGGCAGACCAGATTTGGCTTCCGGGCTGTAGTTTGATGACCCCTGTCATTGACAATGTGTTTTGCTTGTATGGTATTATATCTTTACATAGGGATATGACATGTATTGTCTCTTTTGAGCCTCAATTGGCAGTTTGACATAACAGGTGTTATGAACCCAATTTCAGAAATGAAAGTGCTAAGTTTCAGAAAGGTGAAGTTTCTTAAACAGGCTCACAAGATGAAGTTGTTTGTAGAATTAGCACTAGAACTCTTGTCCCTGATCATCCTTTCCACCAGTTAGTAAGCCACAATACCTTATTTTTTTCATATCTACTTATGGACATGTATTTGGTCACATATATAATGTGATTTAAAGGACTTAAATATACTTCTCATGCTGGTATGACCTGGTGCTTAGATTTTCACCAATAGAGGTTTATTTTTCTGAGTAAGGATACAGTCTACTTTGACAGAGAAAATGTCCTTGAGATAGTTTATTATTCAGGTATTGTTAGTGGAAGGAGTGTATTAGTCCATTTTCATGCTGCTGATAAAGACATACCCAAAACTGGGCAATTTACAAAAGAAAGAGGACTTACAGTTCCACATGGCTGGGGAGGGCTCACAATCATGGAGGAAGGCAAGGAGGATTAAGTCACATCTTACGTGGATGGTAGCAGGCAAAGAGAGAGCTTGTACAGAGAAACTCCCATTTTTAAAACCATCAAATCTCATGAGACCCATTCACTATCACAAGAATAGCACAGGAAAGACACATCCCCATGATTCAATCATCTCCCACTGGGTCCCTCCCACAACACATGGGAATTATGGGAGATACAAGATGAGATTTGGGTGGGGACACAGAGCCAAGCACATCAAAGCGATAGAAACTTAAACTGGATTAAGCAAAAATAAAAAAGATGAGGTTGGTTGACATAACTGTATAGTTTATTTATTGGTTGACGTAACTGTGAAGTTAGAGATACACTGGTATCAAACATGGCTGGATCCAGGGGCTCAAAAATATACCATCAGAGTGTAGTCTTTCTTTCCACATCTTTCTGTTCTGCTTTCCGACAGGTTGGTGCCATGTTTAGGAAGACTCTCTCTATGTAGTGTTCCCCAGTATTTTTGACTTTAGATAAGTACAGCTCTAGGATAATAGAAAAGGTAGTTTCCCTTCCTCAGCAGTACCAACCAGAGTCTGAGGTTCATCTCCCATTAGCCCAAATTAGGTCACATGCCAGCTAATGTGAGAAATCAATCAACCTAATCAATCCAAGAGAAAGCCGTGTGCTGATTGACTTTTTCATGACTCACTGGTTCCTGCAGAAATGGATTAAGCCCCATGTCAACCATGTGGAATAAGGTGTGAGTGGTTTGGCTCCCCAAATAAATATTTGATTTTCTCTTGCCAGAAGAAGCAGGAATGTATTCTGGTAGCAAAATAGATAGATGTTTACTATGGAGGGGCAAAACATAAAGTCTATATTAATGACTATTGACTTAGTATAAAATCTCACAGATATTAGTCACTTAGTTATTTTGCAGACTTTGATACAGGTTAATTTTGAGGGGATACTTGGCAAAACCATCTAGCACTTATGCACAGAAAATAATGAGAATGTTTAGATTGACATATATTGGTGGTGTACCTAAAACTTTATGCAACTTTGGTTTCCAAGTTGAGCTTCCTATGGAATGAACTATGAATTGGCTATCCAATATTATCTGCAACAAACTTCTCTCTCACCTTTCTGCACTACAGAATATGGAATGCTAAAATTCTTGATTACTTGCTCTTACTTACACACACTGTTAGCCCTGTTACACATGAATAGACAATGAGATTAGGAAAAAGTCCTTTGACAGGGCTTTTTTTTTTCTGGATACAAAGATAAATCTCACTGGAAATAGACATTTACTTCCTTTTTTCTGCGTACAGGGTGGAAATGAGGCTTGGTTGTACAGCCATTTTGTAACCAAGAGACAACATACGTGAAGACAAAAAGTTATAAAACTGCTATAGTAGCCCTGGATTGCCTACCTTCTAACTTCTTGTAGAATGAGATAATTAAACTTCTATTTTTTCAAGCCATTGAAATAGCGCTTTCTGTTTCCTGCAACTGAATATACTCCTATGTGATAGAATTTCCAAATAAATCTAAGGTCATTTAGGGATGCTAGGAAACTGGGGCCTTCGACACCCAAGGTATATCCCTACATGCTAGGTGCTAACAAATCACTCATAATCTTGGAAATATTGGCTTACAGTTTTTGAAAGAGATGACTAACAAATTCTGTCTTCATCTTCAATTTTAGGAGAGCCCTCTGGGAACTCTCACAGCCATATGAACCAAGACCTAGAAGGAGATAAACCAATTCTCGGTTTATATTTACATTGGGACATAGTATTTACTCAGCCATTTTCCTTGGCAAGTGATGCTGTAAAATTGCAAAATCCTTTCTAAAAGCGATCTATTGGCTTTTCTGTTTTGGTCCAGGATTTTACCTAAATGATACTTGGGAAGTGTTGAGAGGCATAAAAGATAAACATTTTAATCTTCATGAAGTTTCTTAGCCCCCCCCAAAAAATGGATATAAAAGTTTCAAGACAACATAGGCAAGGATTTGCATACAGAAAAATTTCCATATTTTTGATAGGTATAGAGGACAAGGGAAAAATATCTTTCTAAATTGAAAGCAAACAAGACAAGGTATAACTATGTAAGAAGTTTTTACTGTAATCATAACATACCCTTCATCAGCAGGCAAGAAAAAGATCAAAATGTGCTGCTTCTTCCTGGGCAGACTATTTCACCTCTTTTTGGGCAGTCTGAATCCTTCCTCTTTTGGTCCAATCCAACACTTCTCCATATGCTATTATATATTAGAGATTTTGGTTAAAATGTGGTCCAAAATATAACTAATTATTTAAAAGAAAAGACTTACAAATTTGTTTGTTCATCTTAACTCATTATTTCACACTTCACACACTGCAATGCATTTTCTGTTATGGGGTTTTAGCTTGTGTTTTTTTGTTTCCTTTATTAAAAATTGTATTTTACATACATGACTCAGTTCCCTTTCTGTATCTATAGGGAAACAGTTTGAACTCTCTGCAGGACCTCAGATACAGTGATTTTCCCTCAATTTACTCCTCTGTTAATAAAATAAATTTGAATTGTCATTAGGTGGATTTCAAATTTTCTTTTAGTCAAGAGAACTTTATTCAAAAAATATTTCCAGGAAGACTAATATTCAATAGAAAAAACACATAGGTTGTCTTACTGAACGTGTGTCACCTGGAGAGCCTTTCCTACCTATATGATGGTCCACAGACTTTTAAGATTCCGTAGAACACAAAACACCACTGGCTTATGATTTGTAGGTTTCTTCCCAGGTCCAGCGTTTTTGATTATATGGTCCTATTACATTGCTCTGCCCTTCTCATTCTTCTTAATCTTGACAAGATTCATCGTCCTTACCAACGTAATTATTCATCTCTCAGTTGTGTTTATCTCACTATTTGGAAAACATTTTCAGAGCAGAGACAATATCTCTTATTTTTTAATCTCCCACATTCATTCAACAATCATTTTCTGACATCCCCTCCCTACTCTTACCCAAGCACTATAGTGGGGGTGAATAATAAGCTAGGAATATAAGCTAGATGACAAAATCTGGGACAGTGCCTGCAAGCCCCTCGTTTTGTGATGGTCTCATCTAATGCACTCATCAAATTATTTCAAAGATCTAAGGCATCCATCAAGTTACTTCACAAGATTTTATTTTCACCTACAAACCTCCATGTGTTTGTATTGTATTCAAATATTCATTTTTCTTCAGTGGACTTCTGGAAATTTGAGATGCATTCACCACAGAAAAATAACACAGGAACAGAAAACCAAACTCCGCATGATCTCACTCATAAGTGGGAGTTGAACAATAAGAACACATGGACAAAGGGAAGGGAACATCACCCACCGGTGCCTGTCATGGGGTGGGGCTAGGGGAGGGATAGCATTAGGAGAAATACCTAATGTAGATGCTGGGTTGATGGGTGCAGCAAACCACCATGGCTCGTGTATACTTATGTAACAAATCTGCATGTTCGGCACATGTATCCCAGAACTTAAAGTATTAAAAAAAAAGGCTGAGTATACACAGGCAGTGTTCCGTGAATGAGTTTCAGATGCAAGACTCTACTTGATCCTCATGGTAGTGCTGAAGAGACAGGTCCAGTAGCTATCACTATTGCATTGACCTGATAGGGAGAGGGAGTTCTAGAGAGATGTATAGTGTGTGGCTCCTACATGATGGTGGAATCAAGCCTCGAAGCTGGTTTCCTGGTACTGAGACACCTAGATGAGCTCTTTCTATTAAACTACACTGACATCTAGGGGGAAAATAAAAGTGTATATCACCTCGTATTCCTCCAGTCTCAATGTGTAGAAGGTCAGATTGTCAAAACCCAAATGAGAGAATATATAAAGATACATGAGTTTATTAATTTTCACACAAATTTTAGAGAATTAGTACATTGGCATCAGCAGGCTGTATTTATGGTAGTTAAGGATACAGGCTCAAAAGCCAGACTGCCTGGGCTCCAGTCAGCTCTGCCATTGACCAGCTGCATGACCTTGGCAGGTGGATTATCTGTCTGCCTTAGTTTCTTCATTATAATTTGAGGATGATAATAGTACATAGTTCAGGGTGGTTGTGAGAATCATGACTTGATACATCTAAGGTGTTCAGAAGAGTGTTTAGCCCATAGCACATGCTAAACAAATGTTTGTTTGTTTGTTTTTTATCTCTTGTGATGGCTAACATTAAGTGTCAACTTGATTGGATTGAAGGATGCAAAGTGTTGTTCCTGGGTGTATCTCTGAGGGTGTTGCCAAAGAGATTAACATTTGAATCAGTAAACTAAGAGAGGCAGACCCAACCTCAATGTGGGTGGGCACCATCTAATCAACTGTCAGAGTGGCTAGAATAAAGCATGAAGAAGGTGGGAGAAGCCGACTTGCTGAGTCTTCCAGTCACCATCTTTCTGCTGTGCTGGATGCTTCATGCCCTTGAACATCAGACTCCAAGTTCTTCAGCTTTTGGACTCTTGGACTTACACCAGTGGTTTGCCAGGGGCTCTCAGGCCTTCAACCACAGACTGAAGGCTGCACTGTCAGCTTCCCTACTTTTGAGGTTTTGGGACTCAGACTGGTTTCCTTGCTCCTCAGCTTGCAGATGGCCTATTGTAGGACTTCACCTTGTGTCATGTGAGTCAATTCTCCTAATAAACTCCCCTTCATATATACATGTCTCCTATTAGTTCTGTCCCTCTAGAGAACACTGACTAATACATCCCTCTACTCAAAAACTACAGTGCAAAACAAGAAAGCTGTACTGTCCACCTCCACTATTCACCTGTGCCCACAGGTAATTCAGTCAACTCTTTTATGCATGTCCTTCTAATACTCTTTCCTTACATTCTCATAGGTGTATATGTAAGTCTATGTGTATTTATTTACAAAAACATATCCTACATATTGAGTCTTGTGCTTTCGTTCCTATTTAGCAGTATGTTTAGAGATAGTTTAACATATAGTGTTTTGATTTTTTTCTCTTAAATGGTTGCCTTGTATTTCACAATATGAATGAAACATAATTCATTTAATCAAGTGCCTATTGATGAAACTTTAGATGATTTCTTTCTCGATTATATACAGTGTGATGAAGAACTTACTCTTAGCATTCACCATTTAAGATACAGTCTTTTATGGGTTGAATTCTGTCTCCTTTAAATTTGTATGTTGAAGCCCTAATCCTTATTAACTCAGAAAGTGACTATATTTGAAGATTTTAAATAGGTCATTAAGTTGAAATGAGGTTATTAGAATGGGCTCTAATACAACATTAATGGTGTCTTTATAAGAAGAGGAAATTAGACTGTACAGACGCCCATAAGGAAGACCATATGAAGACAGGGAGAAGGTAGCCAAATACAAGCCAAGGAAAGAGTCCTCAGAGGAAACCAACCTTATAGACACTTGGATCTTGAACTTCTAGCCTCTAATGAAATAAAACATATTTGTTTTACCACGAAAAGATAAATTTCTGCTGTTTAAGCCACCCAGTTTGTGGTACTTTGTTATGGTAGCCCTAGTAAATTTAATATAGACTTCAATAAATGAAATTTTGGGGGCAAAAGTCCACCAATTTGCTTTTCAGGTGTTTTCACCAATTTTCACTCCCACCAGCAATGTAAATGGCTGTTCATTTCACTATGTGTATATTCACCATCACTTTAACATATCACAAATGTTACTGCTGGTAATACTTTCAAACACTCAGACTTCGTTCTAGCACTCAGGATATAGTTTATTGTAAAATAATACTAAAGGGTCAATAAAAAGGTATTAGTATTTTTATTATAACTATCTTTTTGTTTTTTGTTTTTGAGACAGGGTCTCACTCTGTAGCCGAGGCTGGAGTGCAGTGGTGCGATCTCGTCTCACTGCAATCTCCACCTCCTGGATTAAAGCAATTCTGCCTCACCCTCCTGAGTAGCTGGGATTACAGGTGCTGGCCATTACCCCAGGCTAATTTGTGTATTTTTAGTACAGACAGGGTTTCACCATATTGGAGAGGCTGGTCTCGAACTCTTAACCTTAGGTGATCCTCCAGCCTTGGCCTCCCAAAGTGCTGGCATTACAGGTATGAGCCACCATGCCCAGCCTATTTTTACTATAACTATCTTATTATTCATTATTGTTATTATTTTAGTAGAGAATCTGTATTTAACAACACCTCCATTCTTCATCTTCTAAACAAACACTTATCAAGATTGTAAGTGCAAGGTGCTAGGAGGGATGTTGAATCAGATGTGCTCCTAATCCTTCATTTTATTCCCTTTCACCTGAATTCCCATAATAATCTTTTAATTAATTTCATCACCTCTGATCTCCCTCCATACCAATTCATCTGGCACATCACCATCAGATATTTTAATACTTTTGGTAGTATAACAATAAATTTCATATAGCCTAAAATCAAATGATCACACATTCAAATTAGTTGGTGCTAAGATAGTCACTTTGTCCTGAAACTGGGGACTAAATTTATTCTTTCATCAGTAACCCACAGGCTGTCCTATCTTTCATCACTTGTTTCTCAAGTCAAATTTTCTAACCAGTATGCCTAGGTCTTGATCCCTTAGCCCTAGGGTAGAAACTATCGCCTTGGGCCAATTAACTTTTTCCAATTACCTCACTATGTATATAAATATGTTCATATTTTATGTGTTACAACATGGAAGAGATTGGAGAGCACTGGCTTGAGTCATTCCCACTTGATATTTTATAAACGAGCTAAAAGTAAAATCTTACATTTGTTTTATATTCCTAGTATATTTTTCAGAAATTCAGTAGATAGTAAGAAGAAATGGTTTGAAAAGATCTGCTGATGATATGTGTGTGCTTCTTTTTAATTACCAGAATGAAAAGATTAAAAAAAATGTGCCCGTTTCTTGTAATGGTCTCAGATCTTTTTGTCAGACAGGCAACTCTAGGTGTTCTTATTCCTTATGATAGAACTCATGTTGCTTCAGGTCTTGCCATTCCATGTGTACAAATGAGGTGACACTACATTGATAAACTGATTTTCAGGCTCTTTCAAACCCATATGCCTGTGGGAACCTCCATAGTATTCATCTCTCCTCTTGAACTGACAGTGTAGATGCCATGTTCTCTTCTCCTTTCCTCTCTCTTGACCCATCACCTCCTTGTTCAGGTTTAGACGTATTCTGGTGATTCCTCATCTAAGGATGTCCACATGAAGGGTACCATCCCCTGCTGTTCCTCAAACCACCTGCCATAGAGGAGCTCATGCAGGTTGAATGGAAACAATCTCCCTTTAACCTAGAGATTGTTCCAGGTCCCCTCAGCAACACCATTTGAACTCAGAGTCTCACAAAGTTCAACTTTAAAACAATTCTTGATTTCCTCAATTCACCATCTTTGCTGAGAAGTTTACACCTGGTCTAAGAGGCCAGTATGCAGCAGCTCATACTGTATTATTTCCATATTTCTTGCTCCTTGGATCTATAGATAGATTTATACACAATACTTGTTTCACACAGAAAAGCAGAGTCTCCATATATAAGAACATCTTCAATACATATCCAAAGGTATTGGAGGCTAACTCATTCCCTAGCTAAACTCTTGCCTCCAGAAAAACACCCTGCTATATTTGCATTATTAGTTCTTGATTGGAGTTAAACACCTCTTTTGAAAGAAAATGTGTTTGAGAATCAAGGGCTCCACGGTCTCATCTCAAATTTTTCCCTGTCCACTATTGTATCTCTGGGCAAGTTGTATCATGTTTTTAGCATCAGTTTTTTCATCCATAAAGTTAGAAGGAATGATGAGATGACCACTAAGATTTCTTTCAAAGTTCATATTCTGGGATTCTTGCATGGACACCCCTTTAATCAGACAAGTATTAAATAAATATGCATGTGTGTGACAGAGAGAAAAATAGTGGCTGGGTACAAAAAAAAGTAGTAGTTAAAAGTGTTTATTTTGTCCTAGGCCAGCAATTTGCTAGAGATTTGACCTAGAGCCTATGATTTAACCTCTTTATCCTCTATTTTATATTCTCTAATATTGAGATGATAGAAGCTATTTAAAAGCGTTAGTGTCAGCATTAAACAAGATCATACATGGAAAGCAATCTGACCTCATCAGTGTTCAATAAATTAACTATTATTTCTATTATTACTTAACTGACACATATAAACTAGGAACAGATAGGTAGGATCTTCTAAACGGTGGCTTTGATAGTAAGTGCTGCAGAAGGTCAGAAGATGTAAAGATTGTGTTTGTCTTAATTTGAGTCATAGAATAGCTGTTTATGTTTGTGGGATAATCTGCCTAAAAATGTGTTGCAAATATTTATATCATCCTGGTGTATTCTGAAAGGAGCATCTAAAACTAAAGCTTAAAAGCAAGTTGTTCACTAAGAGACAAGACCATGAACAGGGAAAGGATAAACCAGTAAGAGAAAGTTATTGAGCAGGCCACCAGTGAAAGAGACTGGTTATGGGATCAGACCTTATGAACTGCTCCCAGAACCATTTGCCTGATAAATAAAAGGGAAAGCATTTATATCTACACATTGTTCCTGTACTCCCATCAATCAGAGGTGACGTCTTATGGTTATCAGCACTGTACTTCTGGGTTGCACATGTGTGTGTGGCAAGTAGGGGCCTAGGGATTCAGCGGCATCAGAGAAGCCCCAGCACAAGATGTGAGAGACACAGCACAAACTTAAGGAGCGGTGCTGTCAGCTGAAAGTGAATCAAAGCTGCATAGAACTGTTTGTGGTAGGACTGGTATCAGAGGTAAGTCAGAGAGGATGTAAGGTGTCCACCAGAGGTGTCCAATTCAACAAACAGAGTTCCTTCAGATGAGAGCAAGCCAGATTGATGAAGGCACTCTCAAAACCACATCATATGAGCAATGGAGAAGGGAATATCATAAGAACAATGACGGCCACTACATATTAAGCACTCACGATGTGCCATTCAGCTGTTTAAGTGCTTTGTTTGCATCGTCTCATCAAATCCTCCCAATAGCAAAGAGCCTGGGCTTTCAGGACCTAGAGTTATTAAGGAGATGCTCAAAGTAGATTATATCTATAAAGTGGGGTCAAACTTGGGATTATTTACATATTTGACTCTCTGAAGCTGTTAACCTCTCTGCTATACTGGAGCTTTTTAAAATGAAGAAGACCCAAAGGAGAATGATCACTCTCTTCCAATGTTTAAAGCACTGTCATTCACTATGAGTACATTTTAATTCATAATTTACAGGCTGCCTTTTATTAACCCAACTTTCCAACCATCCACAGTTTGAAGACGTATATTGACAGCTCTAAGCTAGCTTTGGAGTGCCAAATCTAGACTTCATATTTCAGACAGTGGTTGCTGTACAATGAATAACATTTCAAGCTAATGCGGTCTTTGGTGAAGCTTTTTACAAACATACTGTGTGCACACACATATACACATTTGTAAAGAAATCTGCCATTGGCCATTTGGAAAGCCACCTTGCCCTTTATTCTAGTTGATTGGGAATCAAGACTATTAAATTCATTCATTAGAGATGTAGAGGAGATGTTGAAATTATATCAACTTTAAAATTGCAGGAAAATTGAAATTTTATTAATTTTAGCTCTGAAGAATGAAATTATGCATATACCATTTGTGTGCATTATTTGATATTTAGGTACACATATTTTAAATAGTTATCAAAGTAGAAGTCTACTTAAAAGTATCAGATACACAAAATACTTTAAAGTGGATTATGATAAAAGGTACTAATAAAAGATGTTTATAAAATGGAAAATAAATTGGTAAAGACCCTATATATAAAGATATATTTCAAAAATCTTAATTAATATAGTTGTTGAGCTTCCTAGCAGCCAATGCAGAAAGGAGCACATAACATTCTTACAGAATAGAAAAAAGAAAAGTTAGTAATCCCTTCCTTTTAGCCTCTTCACTTCCTAAACTCTTTACTCCCTGTTGGCTCAACCAGTCCCTAGACTAGAAGTTACTTAATATTATTGCATAAGATTGAAAGGGATGCCTAAGTTTAAAGTGATGAGCATAAAAGGCCTACATAGCCAACTACATTCTCTCATAATCCAATTCTAATGCTTAAAATGTCCATAATTAAGAAAAACTAATGACGGTATGTTTGGGTGGATTTTTAACCGGGTAAATCACCATAATTAGAGTGTGGATTAGAGCACTGATGTCAAACAGGAAGGCATTTTCTAGTATCTGGCCGCACAGCCTTGTCCTCAATTGAGTCCCAGTAAATATTTTTACGTTTGAGTTGGATATGGGCATTGATTGTATTTGAATCAAATTTGCAGATGCTGCAAAGCTGGGATAAGCAATCAACATTTTGTATGATTATTTTAGAATCCTAAACATTCTCAATGTGTTGCAATAATGGAAATAATTCTAAAAGTTGAAATTTACTAGGAATAAATATAGAGTCCTGGGGAATTGGCTAAATAGTTACTCAGATGCATTTCAAACCTTGAAATACTATTGTTTGATTCTAAAGGGGAATGAACCTCCTCATATACAAAAGAGTTATGTTTCAGGAGGTGCTATCTATCCTACCCCAATTGTGTAGCACAGCAGCCCTTTAATATGCCAATTAATCCATATCTCTCTGTCTACACTGTTATTACCTGGTCTAGGTCACCATCAGCTCTAGCCTGGGACGTTGCAGCATAAAAGATCTTCTGACTCCAATATTGCAACTTTCTTAAGTTTATCCTCCATATTCTCCATGCATAAACCAGAATGAACTTTTAAAATACAAAAATGTGTGTATCACCCTTCTGCTTAAAACTCACTCAATGTTTTCGCAATATTACTCTCAAAAAAAAAAATTCCTGATAATAGCCCTCACAGTCTTGCAAGATCAGGCCTTGTCTTTACCTGCAGGCCCACCTAGTGGCAATCGTTCTCCTCAAACCACCCACATCCCCAGGTTCACTCCGCTCTAGCCACACTGGCCTTATTTGTTTTCCACAAATATACCAAGCTGGGTTCTAGCAAAAGGTCTTTGACTTTGCTGGTCTCTCTGAATGAAACACCCTTCTCTCATATCTTGCTATGATCAGCTTAGCCTTGTCATTTTTCTTTATTTTGTTAAAACTATACTGTTTTAATATTTCATTTATTTCATTATGTCCTTATTTTATTTCTCTCATTAGAATTTAACTTCTGGGCTGAGATGATGCAGCCATACTATGCAGCTATAAAAAGGAACAAGATCATATCTTTTGCAGGGATATGGATGGAGCTGGCAGCCATTATTCTCAGCAAACTACTACAGAAACAGAACACAAAATACTGCATATTCTCACTTATAAGTGGGAGGGAAATGATGAGAACACATGAACACGTGTGGGAAACAACACACACTGGGACCTGTCAGAGGTTGAAGTGGGTAGGAGGCAGAGCATCAAAAAGAATAGCTAATGGATGCTGGGCTTAATACCTAGGTGAAGGAATGATCTTCACAGAAAACCACCATAGCACATGTTTGCCTATGTAACAAATCTGCACATCTTGCACATGTATCCTACAACTTAAAATAAAAGTTGGAAAAAAAAAAAAAAGAATTTAACTTCTATGAGTTCTAGGAATTTGTATGTAATTCTCTCCTGAATCTCCAGGGTCTGGATAGAACAGTGTCTGGTCCAGAGTAGAGAGTCAATGTGTATTTGTAGGAAGGATGGAAGAAAGAAAAAAGAGAGAGAGGGAGGGAGGAAAGGAAAAATGAAATTGCCTGTATAGAATGTCTTTAGAACTGGCCCTATGCCTAGTTCCATAAGAATAATAATTCTATAATGTAAAACTTACAATTGTAAAGGTACACTCATTCTTCAAAAACAGAGAACAGAGAATTGAGCTATTTGTTATCTTTTATAGAACTGAACAAAAGTTGCCTTCAAATAAGGTATTTTTCAGGTGTAATTTGTCATTTAGAGCTAAAGTCCAATTAATCAAGTTCCTAGTAATGAGACTTGAATTTTCACAAGAGTGAAATTAAAGATCAGTAGAGACAATTACAAACACACACAAATGAAACTATAGTGGACTACTTCTTTGCCTCCCAGTAAATAAATAGATACATGCACACATACATACACATATTTTCTGCATACTACCCAGGGGATTTGGTATGTGGGGTGTCAGCAAATTTCAGGTAAGGGTGTTACCAATTTATCTTTGTTAAGTGGTGGCAAATTTAGTCTTGAAATAGGAAAGTTATTCAAAAGAAAGGCTAGGAATTAGTAGCAGCAAAAAAGTAAAAGTTTAAAGGAGATTTGACCTTCTCATAGAGAAAATATGGGAAGTTCTTGTTCTTTCGTTAAAAATGATATTTTAGTGGTTTGCTGCTTTGCAGGAGAATGTTCTGTACCTTGTCTGTATCTTCTCCTGTTCAAGTATAAAGAATTGTATGATACTGTCTATATTCTACATGGCTGGAAAGTTCATAATCAGCAAATAGTGCTTATTTTAACAAGCCAAGCTGAAGGGAGAGGAAAAGCTTTGTTCAGGATATTATAGCTTATAGTATGGTCCTTCAGAGATGTTCACCATTAATTATCCAAATCTTTCATCTGCCTGAATTCTTCATTTACCTAGTATTCCTTGTCCTTGGATGAGAAACTTCTGTTGTTACTCTCATTCCTACCCATGCCACACACATTTTGAGATGTGGGACCATGCCATGGGTGGGGAATTAAGCATATTTCTTGTTCTGCTCTGTGTCCTACACAGTCCAGGACTGTGTTTATTTTTTGGTTAATTCAACAAACATTTATTGAATATTTCTTGTTCTACTCTGTGTCCTACATAGTCCAGGACTGTGTTTATTTTTTGGTTAATTCAACAAATATTTATTGAGCTCCTACTAATTCCTGAGGATGGCACTGACCTAGACAGAAACAGTCACCATCTACATAAAGTTGACAGTTCATCAAGGAAGATAGATATTAATCTAATAATTACAAGTATGAGAAGCATTAGGAAGGAGAAAATACAGAGTAGTATGTTAAGACTTAGTCCTCTCTGAGGAAGTGATGTTTAAGCTGGAATCTGAAGGATCAAGAGGCATTATTAGGATGAAAAGAATGAGAAATGTAGGATGGGGCCAAAGCTAAGTTTACAGGCAAAGAAATAGGTGCTCTATAACCTAGAGGAAAAGAAGAGGAGCACTTTAAAGGAAATGAAAGACAGAGAGGAAGACAGAGGGAAAAGATTTGAGGCACAAAAGATCATGCCAGGTCCTCTAGTTCGGACAGTGGAAAGACTTTGGGGAGCTTTATGCATCAAGTGATTTGGTCAGATTTACTTTTTTTGTGAGAACTTCTCCAGCTGTTCTCCAGAAGTTCTCTAGAGCTTCCTAATGGGGACTCAACGTGGAAGAAGACAGGCCTAATGAGAGATCATTGTAATACTCCAGGTAGAAGACAAAGGCAGCTCCGTGGACTGCTGAAGTTAGATCTGGAGATGGGCAGGAAGATGAAAGATTTTTAAGGAAACACTGGAAATGGGTCAGTTTGGAGGGAATGATGAGTCTGCTTTGAGGAACTAGGTGATGGTTCACGTGAGATGTCAAGCCTGGAAGGCCACTTGGGCCTTTTCAGTCCTATAGTCAAGGACTCACTACCCAAAGAAATAAGTCCAGACTCTTCAAGCTATCTATGCTGTTTCTCAGCACTATTGATATATAGGGGCAAATAATTTTTTGTTGTGGGTTGTGCCTTGTGCATTATATAATGATGAGCAGAATCCCTGGTCTTTATCCACAAATGCCAGAAACAGCCCTTGCTCCAAGTTGTAACAACCATAAATATCTCCAGAAATTGCCATATTTCTGGGGGACAAAATTGCCCCTGGTTGAGAACCACTAACCTATGCTAACTCCATCTTACCCATCCACCCCCTTATCACTCTTCCCCCAGACCATCATATTCTTCTCATTATTTCCTATATGTTTCTAAACAGATTAGGGAGCTTTGTTTAATAACATTGGCTTTGGTATCATAGAGACCTATGTTCAAATGTGAGTTCCATAATTCATCAATTATATGGTCTCACACAAGTTACTTAACTACTTATGGTTCTTCACTTGTGAAATATGGATAATATCAGTTCCTCCTCATAAGGTCACACTGTCAAGTGATAAATACAAAGCCTAACCCACTTTAGGTGCTCAACTCATTTTAGTTACTATGAAAATATGCTTGTTAACATATGTAATGTCTTTGTCTGTATCATACCCACATTCAGAAATGACACCTACTTCCCTTGACCACTATCCACCCATACAATTCAAATTTAACTTTACCTTTCAAGACGCTCATTGACATTTGCTCCCCATGGAAGACTTCTACCATTTACTCTAATATATACTGATTAGTGCCATTTTCAAGCTCCATTAACAGTTAGAGCTCACATTACATAATTTAATGTAATTAAATTACATAGGCCAGGTGCAGTGGCTCATGCTTGTAATCCCAGCACTTTGGGAGAACGAGGAGGGTGGGTTACCTGAGATCAGGAATTCAAGACCAGACTAGCCAACATGGTGAAACCCCTCCTGTACTAAAAATACAAACAAACAAGAAATTAGCCGAGCGTGGTGGTGGGCACCTGTAGTCCCAGCTACTCGAGAGGCTGAGGCAGGAGAATCACTTGAGCCTAGGAGGTGGAGGTTGCAGTGAGCCAATATCGCACCACTGCACTCCAGCCTGGAGGACAGAATGAGACTCTGTCTAAAAAAAAAAAAAAAAGGAAAGAAAAGAAAAAAGAAAAAAATGCTTTGTTACATAGTAATAGCATCTTCCACTTATTTTGTCTGTGAACATTTTCTAACCCCCTAACAGCATATGCATTTCTCAGTGATATGGCGATGATATTCTATTGTTGTGGGCAACAATAGATGCTGAGTGGATGCCCATGGATTGAAGTCATCCACATGTGTGGGGAAAGTCAACTTATTACACCTAAGCAGCCACATGACCACCCAATGCTGGGGCAGCTGGATTAATATTACCTTATCCTTTGTAATTTTTTTTATGCAATGAATCCCAATTTGCATGAAATAGAAATGAATTTCCAGCAGAAGGAGTGAGAGAGTGAGCTCATCTAAGAAACCGACATTTTCTCCTGTGTTTGATGAGAGTGAGAGTTATAGGAATTCAAGGTACACAAACAGAGCTGCCACACACCTTCACAAGAGGCTCTGACTGTGAACTAGGACCTAACATGGCTTTGAACTCAGTTAAATTTAACTTTTAGATCCACTGTGGAAACCAAGACTTTAACCATTTATTATTATTTAGAAATGGACATGAATGAAATGGAAGACTTGGCTATTGTAAACAAAAAATGTGACTTTTTTTTCTACCTATATTAAGAGGCTTGCTATAACATTTTTGTTAGCCAAACTCATACATAATAGATGCTCAATAAATATTTACTGAAATAGATTCTCCAGCTACATGTCTGTGTGGCTTTGGATATGACACAATCTTTCTAGCTTTAGTTTTCCTATCTGTAATATGAAAAGTTGATTCAATAACCAGAAGTTTTAAACCAAATATCTAGCACTTCATAGAGGTATCTGGAGGCCTACTCTTGGGACTAGAAACTGATTAAGAGATGTTAAGTGACCAGGACTCTGGACTTCAATTAGAGAAGCAGATTTTTTTGTTGTCTTTGCTGTTTTATGATTTTATGCTCTGTTCAAAGTTTTGTTTAAATAAAGGAATCAACTTCTCAAAATAAAAAGTTTCATATCACTGACCTAGATAATCTTTAAAGTTTTTCCAACTGTATTATGTGATCTATGATCTTCATTATGGACAAACAAGAGAAAATGAGCAAAAGGCACTTTGTGAGGAATTTAGGTTACATTCAGAAAAGAATTTAACTGGAAAAACTATAACTTACTATAAAATAAGAAAATTAGGCAATTATTTCCCTTAAATAATTCAAAGATTGGCTAAAAGCTGCCTTTGTAAATACACATTCTGGGGTAACAAGATCAATTTCACTTAGCCACCAGACATTAGGACCACCTTGAGCATAGCCCTGAGTCTCTTTTGTGACTCAACCACTGTTTCTGCCCTCAAGATGCTCCCAATCTAATATGAGAGAAAATGCATCTCAAATAACTGAGACACAATTAGAAAATTATAAATGCTATACAAGATAGAGAATGTACAGAAGAGTGGTATGTGAGATCTGAGAAGGGGCAACTAATTTTTTGAGAGAAAAAATCACAAAATACTGAGAAACTGGCTTTTGAGCTTGACCCTGCAGCACTGAAGTGTTATAATTTGGAAATAGGGACATACAGGAAAGGTCATTCAGGTTGAGGAAATACAGTGAATCAATGATCTGAGGAGAGTGCTCTATTCAGAATGCAGCAGAAAGGCATTTATTAAGGAATTCATCTCTCATTTCTATTCTTTACCAAATATGTCCAATTTTCTGTTAAAGCATAAGGCAGAATCACGCTTCCTTGACTCTCAGAGATGATTATGTCATTTGTTTTCACCACAGAGATTTGAGTGGAAGCGAGATTGCATTTTTCTTACCTTGGCAACAGTGAAGTTGGCATTGGAGCCTTCCTCAAATTGGTTCTCTGCCTGATGATGCAGAGCTAAAGCCCTTCCTCAGCTAACCCATGACAGATATAAGCCGTTGTTGTTTTAGAGGGGTGTCCAGCCTTTTGGCTTTTCTGGGCCACATCGAAAGAAGAATTGTCTTGGGCCACACATAAAATACACTAACACTAACGAAAGCTGATGAGCTAAAGAAGAAAATTGCAAAAAACCTCATAATGTTTTTTTTTATTATACTTTAAGTTTTAGGGTACATGTGCACAATATGCAGGTTAGTTACATATGTATACATGTGCCATGCTGGTGCGCTGCACCCACTAACTCATCATCTAGCATTAGGTATATCTCCCAATGCTATCCCTCCCCCCTCCCCCCACCCCACAACAGTCCCCAGAGTGTGATGTTCCCCTTCCTGTGTCCATGTGTTCTCATTGTTCAATTCCCACCTATGAGTGAGAATATAAAACCTCATAATGTTTTAAGAAAGTTTACAAATTTGTGCTAGGCTGCATTCAAAGCCATCCTGGGCCAAGTGTTAGACAAGCTTGTTTTAAGGCGTGAAATTTAGGGGTTGTTTGTTACCATAGGAGGGTAGTGAGAATTCTAAGATGGCACCCATCATTCTTGCCCCGTGGCATCCACACTGTTGTGTAATTTCCTCCCCTTTAGTAACAACCTACTTGTAACCAACTGAATATGTCAAAGCTGAAATCACTACTGTGATTATATTATAGGATACAAGATTCCATCTTAACAGACTAAAGTAAGAATTCTCCTACTGGCTTTGAAAAAGTAGGCTTCCATGTTATGATAAGGCCTGCGAGTGAGCCAGAGGTAGAGGAATTGTAGGGGTCCATTGGGAGCTAAAAGCAACCTGCGGCTGATAGCCACAGAAAAGAATGTCCCTCACCTACAATGGCAAGCAATTGAATTTTGCTTACAGCCATTATGTAAGTTTGGAAGACAGCCCTGAATTTCAGAAAGGAAGGCAGTTCCCTACATCTAGATCCTAGTCTGTGAGACCCTGAACAGAGGACCCACTTAAATTATGCCCATAATCTCAACCCACAGAAGCTGCAAGATAATAAATATATGTTATTTTAAGCTGATAAGTTGGTGGTCATTTGTTACACATCAACAGAAAGCTAAGGGACTTAACATAACGTGGCCTCTCCTGATTCAGACAAAAAAGATGGGAATGAAGTCTAGAAAAGTATTCCAGATCTTTTTTTCAGAAGGCCTTAAATGCCCAGCTAGTGAGCCAGAGCTTTCTTGTGGGGAATGAGAGACTTTGAAGGTATTTGAGTAGAGAGACAGTTTGGTTGGAACAGTGCATTTAAGGGAATGATTTGCAGGCATATGAATGAAAAGATAATGTAAAAAGAGATTGCCACAGAGATATATAAGAATCAAGTAAATAGAGAATATTAACTTCTCTTATCAAATTACTCACATGTAGAAAGTAATCTATTCAGAGAAATTTTGCTGACATTCTTTTTTTTTTAATCAAATATAATGCTGTTTCTACCTGTAATTCTACTTTACATGATTAAAATACCCATGTCTGCCCCTGGAGTTAAAATGACAAATGTACCCAGTTGCACGCCTCCATGTTTTCACCAGGGGACTGTTCCATTTGTTAATAGGCATTGCTTTTTGCCAGGAATTTCGTTTTCAGCCCAGAGTAAATTGCCTTTCATCTATACCAAAATTTGAAGCATGTACAAAAGTGGTTTATGTTTTATTTACCACTTGTTCTGGCAGGGAGATGGTTTTAAGAGAGCTTAGATTCACTTTCTCATGTCACGTGGGCTGCCATATGAAACTGCACTGCAATCTTTTATTTGCCATGCTATAATGCTCATGAGAAAAAAAATATTTGGCTTGTGTGAATCTCAATACAAAAAGTACATTTAGAGATGCATCCAAAGTAGCACATTATAATGTTTCTTTGTTTCTTTCTTTCTTTCTTTCTTTCTTTTTTTCCAGGCTGGAGTACAGTGGTATGATCTCAGCTCATTGCAACCTCCGCCTCCTGGGCTCAATCTATCCTCCCACCTCAGCTTCCCAAGTAGCTGGGACTACAGGCTATTTTTTCTTTTTCTTTTTCTTTTTTGGTAGTTAGGGGATTTTGCCATGTTGGCCAGGCTGGGCTCAAACTCCTGGGCTCAAGCAATCCACCTGCTTCAGCCTTTCAAAGTGTTGGGATTACAGGCATGAGCCACAGTGCCTGGCTGAGAATTTTTCTTCTGCTGGTAAAGTTCCTTTTCACAGAAGAATAACCTGGCTTATCATAAGTTTTCTGGACTTTGAGGTCACTCTTTTCTTTTAAGCACTATAGCAGACATCTGTTGTGCTGAAGCCCATTGCTTATTCCTCCTACATCTTCATATTTCTTTTAGCAAGTCACCTTCAACCACATTTCTATCTACATAGTTTGGGTGGAACACCATTATAACGTGAAAGTGACTCTGGTGTAAGGTAATCAAAGTATTCCTTTCTCTAGGTCTACGTAAACTGGCCAAAGAGGGCCTTTTGAAGAAGCTAGTAAAACAACAGGCTCCTTCTCCCTACCTTACTTGAACTTACATGTATGTAACACCAGAGCTGCTGCCACCATCTTGCCATCATACAGATCTGAAAAAATTGCCAGTATAGGGAAGATGAGGAATACAGGTCCTGATGAAAGTGTGTGAGCCTTTAACTCCAACAAAGTCTGATAACAGTTATATCCCTATGTTCAGTTATTTTTATTTATTTGAGCCAATAAATGCTCTTTTACTATAATCAACAGCTGACTGTGTTTTCTTATACTTGCAACTAAGCCACCATTTTATTTTTCTACCAGAATCTTCCTTCTCCCAAGTGATTTCTGCCAATCTCTGAAGAATACATTCTGAGCACTTTCCCCTTCTATTGATGAACTTTATTTTTGCCTATAGTTGTTTCAGGATTGTGTGTATCAGATCTCACCCTATCAGAAGAAAATGTCTATTGCCAGTTGCCCTATCTCCATAATTCTGCTCCAAATGTGCACACAGATCTATTCCTTAATTCCCAAAGGACAATAATCCACACAAAGCAATTGCAATAGTCAATGTGTTTCCCATGGAAGAATGAATTTACAGACCACATATGGGCAATGTGTTACAGTAGGGCAGATTTCAGACTAGCATTTTATACTCTGCTTCATTGAATGAAATTACAAATTTACTGCCAGTTCACTTTGTTCTCCACTAGCACAACCTCAAGATTAAAAAAAAAAAAACCTCATTAACTGGCTGGTTTCTTTCACTAATAGGAAGCCAACCAGTTATATATAAAAGGAAAGTAAGCTAAATTAATCATTCGCCTCTATCTCTCTCTCTCTATCTACCAAATCTGTTTGTCTGTGTGTGTGTGCTAATGATGGCAAGAGGTGCTGGGGAGAAAGGTTGTTGGTAGCCTATTCCAAAACCATTCCTACTCTTTTCTTGCTGTCAGAAAACCCCCACACACAAACATACACACACACAAAGTTATAAATGCCAAGTTCCCAATTTCTCAGTCTCCTTGCAGCTTGGGCATAGTTCATAACTAACCTTCAATTAGTATATAATGGAGTAAAAAAAAATTGCCTAAAGTTGTTGAATCAAGAAATGTTGTGTTGGCATATTATTTAGATATATGAGGAACCACTGGAAAAAAGAAAAATAGAAATAGTTAAGAGAGATTTCCTTTGAGCAGTTCAATAAGGAATAGAAAAAGGCAAGCAGAGGACTGCAGCTTTTCATTATTAACTCCTGTATATTATTTGATTATTTGCCTTATACATGTACCCCTATGTATACACACACACACACACACACACACACACACACACGCACGCAGGCAGCAGCCAGCAGCCATTTCTTGTGGAAGTGACTGCAGTATATCTCTTAATCAGTCTATGCAAAAATGATAGTTGAGCTTTTGAGTGTTAGGTCCTGAATTAAAAGCTTTACACAGATAGTCTGACTTAATCCTCAGAGATACACTATGAATTAGTTACTATTATTATTCTTATATTAAAGGCTGGGAGACAGGCTCGTAAAGGTTAAATAACCTTTTCAAGGTCATGAAGCTAGTTGTTTAGGATAGAAATGAGATTCAAACTGAAAATCCATACCTTAAGTGCTGAGCAATACTGGCTTCCAGATCATTAAAGATGTCCTACCCTGTCCTCAGGAAAGGCCTTCTTTGAAGCAAGTATCACTTGAACCTCTCCAGATTCTGCCTAATGATTTTATCTGCAGTGGTGTTGCTCATTTCTTGAGCTATAATAATGAAAATAGAAGGAGTTTAAGATAGCTCACATGCACCCAAATGTCAGCACACAAACACTTTCCTGTGTTTGAATTTATACAATATGAATGAGTATTCTGGTTGAATTGAATGCCTTGCTATTTTCGATTAGTCACTGAATTTCTTGCTTTTCAGCTCTGTTACACAACTTCAGTAAGCCTGCATATATACTATTGAGTAGTTTCATGTAAGCATCAGACAACACTCTTGAAATTTTTTAATCATCGTATGTTAGTAATAGTGGCATACATACTGCAAGTTGTCCAGTTAGTACCCGTGTGTATATTAAAAAGAGAAAATGGTGTGTCAAATTGAATCCTCCTAAAAGGTTTTTTTTTTCTTTAGAAAAAAAGATAGGAATACTCTTTATACTCAAAAATAAATAAACAAATTTTATCTTTTATTTTGTACATTCATTTTCTTTTTCTTTAGCTGAGATGCCATAAAAACCATCCAGCTCAACACTGGAAATGAAAATGGATGTTAGAGTGTGATAATGGCTAAGAATAAAAAGAGACTATCCAGAAGTCACAGATATTTCTTACAAAAAACCGAAAGTAAAAAAAAAAAAATAGTAATAATGTACTGCTCCAAGAAGCCCCACGGCTGACTTAGTTGAGGCATTTTTTCACTTTGCTCAGGGGAAAATAAACAACTGATCATCTGCATATTCTCCAGCCCCCTTGCTGGGAGAATCTGGAGATGGTCCTCTTCACTACCCACTGAAAAGTAGCTCTGACCATGAGGTTCCATGGGGCAAGCCAGCGGCACTCTGCACAAGCAGCAGCAGGAACACCCATCTCAAGCAGGCAAGACACTCAGTGGTCTGGCCTTATCTTTCAGCCTCACCTCAGCTCCTACCTCTTCTCCTGTCCACTGGGTTCCAGCCAGGCACAGTCTTTCTTTTCCTCTGACCCCCAAGGTGTCTCTTTTGTAATCACTTTCTTCAACTTAGAGAGCTTCTTTCCAGGTTCTTTGCATATTCTGGTCACATCTCAAATGTCACCTCCTCAGAGAGACCTTCCAGGACCCCTCTCTGAGGTGCCAGACTTCTCCCACACACATATTCTCTATCTCATTTCTATCTCTTATTTTCTTCCCCTAATCTTTCAAAAAAAGATTAAAATAAGACTACGAGGGAAGTTTTTGTTTTCAAGGCCAAGGATGGTCCTTATTCATTTGGCTTGGGTAATAGATTCTTGGGTCATGAAATGCCAGAGGGTGGGGAATTCAGGACCTGGCTCCAGTTTATCTTCTGCCGTTCGAGGGCTGTGTGGCTTGCAGTGAGGTTTGATTTATATGTTTGGAGGTGGGGATGGGCAGATGGACTCTGAGAATCTAAACTATCTACCTTTACACAGCTTACTGACTATAGTGATATTGCCTTCACCAGCCTCCTGTCTTCGTCAGCATAGCTTCACTATTCCAGGAAATTTTGCCCAGAAAGAAAAAAAAAACACAAATAACTTTTTCACTGTAAGAATTTTCTGAAAGACCCATGAACTCTTCAGTAGAAAACATAAGCCAACTCTTTATACCCCAAGATGCTTCTAATCTCTTACCATAAAATCCTTGCCTTGCTGTGTCTACCAATTCTAAACTATTACATCATGATCCTTACCTAATCCTAATAAAAAAGACCCTAACCCATTGAAGGACACACTTTAAACCAGACTTCAGAGTCTCAATAAATATTACGAATTTGCTCTTCCCATTCTGAGATGCAATCAAAACTGTCAAGATAATGTGCTATAACAACAGTAAGTGATGAACTCAGCTTTTACTTATTAACAAGTTGTTCTAATATTTGAGGCAGCCAGCAATGAGCTATATGGCTTAGATTAAATCCTTCCTGTCTTTGGGGCTTATTTATAAATTAAGGAGGTTGGACTCAATAATTATTAAGGTACCTTCCAGCTTTGATATTAAGACCCTTTGGGAAGGTAATTCCTTTCCCTCTTGGTGGTCTCTTTCCAAGCTGACAGCTTCTTAAAGAAAAGGACAATTGCCTCCTGTCGTTATTAGAAAGTGGACACAGGTCAGGTTCCTGGGGTGACAGGGAGTTCAATGGTTGAGTTTTCAATAGCTAGCTTTATACTTTCCTGCTGCTTGTCAACTCCAGGAGAGAAAGGGTGGCCATTGTTTGTTTTGTCTTGCTACACAAAAGCTAGACCAGTATTGGAGGGAAGAAAGAGGCGCTGCCTTCTTGGCCAAGAGCCACACTGGTTACCTGAATGGAGTTTCATCTTGAGGATGCCTCTTCTTATCCCCATAGGGAGACCTTTGCCTGCAGCCACAGCAGTGAATCGCTAATTGTCTCCTGTGCTCATTTGGCTGCACAAACAGAAGCACACAGCCTCATCAAGGTGAGAGCTAAGCCGACCCCATGTCTATTTGAACAATGCTAAGATGGATGATGAATGGGTATTTTGGAAACACAGCAAATGCAATGATTTATATTCATGATGGACTAAACCCAAAGGGACTTCTGGAATGGGCACATAGCATAGTGCTTTGATCTTTCAGAGTGTGAACTAAGTGAAAAAGGATTTGGAAAGCTGTTCCTTGTGACATCCAGAGAAAAGGGGGTTGGGCTTTTTATACAGACAATTTACTTTTAAACCAAGCTGCAGATTTGGAAGGTCAAAACGGGCAAAAAAAAAAAAGTACTCGAATGTGATGAGACCAATTGGGAAATTTTTAAAACTTTGAATTTGAAAATATAAGTTTCTATTGCCATTGTTGCCATTATGATTGAAAGTTTGAATTAGGTAATCAAATATATTTTAAATTGAATAAATATTTGTTTGATTATCTTGCTTACTCATTATCAAATCTAGTTTGAGAACATAGGTACTTGGGTTCTTTGATGCTAATATGACATAATCCCATCTCCACATCCTCCATCACTATCCCCATTTCTGTTTTCTATTCTTTTTATATATCTTTATGTCCCCTTGGTATACTCCTAGCTGTGAGAATTGAGTCTTTTAACTATTCTCTCAGTTCCAGTAACAGGAGGAATCAAGTCAACGTCTCTTGTCATGAAAATGGGAGTACACATGGCTGCCCTTAGGAGTTTTCTGAAGACCCAGTCAAAGAATGAGCAAGAGAGAGACAGACACCATGTCTTACAGAGTCACACTCATTGAATATGTTTCCTATATCCCTCCCTCCTTCCTTTCTTTCTTACCCAATGGAAGACAGACCGATAAGCACCCACATGGAGGAAGTTCCTTTTGCCATATTTGTGGTGATCAGCCTCTCTATGCCTACCCAGTGATCATATACCTTTACCTATTTATAAAGAGTATGGGTTTTTAAAATGAGAGGAGAAAGGCAGTGCATCAAAATCAAATTACTCACTGTGATTATCTTTTCTCCCACTCTGAAAAAAAATAGAGTTTTCATTTAGCTTATTTTCATTCAGCCGGCATCTTATGCATCGTTGCAAATTAACACTATTCACAATAGGAAAGAAGTGTGCAGCCAAGGCTCTGAATAATCTCATTACATATCTCTCAACAATTAAGTGCATTAACTAAGTCCTTGTATCGGAGGGGATGTTGCTGAAATGGCTCACATTTAGTCACATCCTTCTGTGCTTCCTGTTCACATAAGGTTTTGTCTAATCTTCATTATACCTCAAAGGGTTTGGGATTATTACCAAAACATGACCCTGGATTATTCTGCATGAATAACTTCCAGTATCCCAAATGTTCTTCCACTTCTTTTTGTACTAAGAGAGACTACATGATAGTAGTTTGTAGTTTGATTTCAGAGATCAGAAAAACCTCAGCTCATATTTCAGATTACCTACTTATTAGCTCTATGACACCTTCATGCCTCGGTTTCTTCAACTGTCAAAAGAAAACAGTAAAAGTCCCAATCCCATTGGGTTGTTGTGAAGATTAACTTATATAATTAGAGGAGGCACATAGTACAGTTCCTGGTTTGTAGCAAATGCTCAATCAATGACAGGGGTAGTAGCAGTAGCAGCACTGCAATTGTAACAACAGAGGCCACATGGAGCTCTGGCTGTAAACAGAAAATCTGGGCTCTGGTCCTGGCTCCTATTAGCTGTTTGACCTCTTTGTCTCAAGTGTCCTTTACTGTGCAAGATTATTGTGAGAATTAACTGTGATAATCGATGTAAATGTACTTGTAAACTATAGGGATGTAAATGATTAATGTCATTATGAAGTCACTGTTGAAGGTTATTTTTTTCAAGTTTCTCAATAAGGTGATTGCAAAAGCATTTACAAAGTATAAATTTTTGCTTGGCACTATGATTGTCAGAGTCAAAGTTCTTTGATTTCAAGAAACAAAAATCAAATCAAGTTGCTCACATAAAAGTGAGGTTTGTGGAGAGAATAAGATAAAATAAGTTGTGGGAAACCATTCATTCATTAAACATGTATTTATTGAACACTATTCTAGCTCTAGAAACTGTGCTAAGTGCTCAATATGTCAAAATGAGTCAAATCATTTACTTAAGAAGTTAATAGCATATTGGAGAGAAGAAACTGAAAATCAGTGTAGGGCACAGGTATATGGTAAACAAAGAGGTTCATGCATATCTACAAAATAAGAAAATAAACTGAGGCTATGCATGTAATAAATAGAATATAATTACAGAAAGTACCTGGGAAATGTGGGATATCACAAAAGAGAAAGTTTTGGGTCCTGAGAAAGCTTTGCAGGAAGGGGGAGTGCCTATTTTCAAGTCTCTAAGACAGGAAAGTGGTTGGCAAATCAGAGAAACTGAAAGGCATCCAGTGTGGCAGGAGCTTGTAGCCACAGGGGAGTGGCTCACATCTGGGCAGGAGACACAAATTCAGTTAATTAATTAATTCATTCATTCAACATATTTATCGAATGCCTACTCTGTGTCAGGCACGGCTGTTAGCCAGAAAGATGAAGTTTTCCCAAAATGACCAACCCCCAACCCTACATTCTAATAAGTAATGAGATAATTTTTAAAAATAAAATTATATTAAAAACCTAAAGGTATGTCAGCATATAATTAGTTTTAAACTGAGATGGTCTAAGGAGTAAGTGTGAATAGAGAGGAAAAGGGAACTTAGAGTCCAGGAAACAAGTATAGGAGAAGAAGTCAACAAAGGAGACTGAGAGGAATATTCTGAGAGGTAGGAGAATAACAGGAGAGGATGATATCATATAAATAAAAAAGGTTGGGGTGGGACCAAGATGGCCTTCTAGAAGCAGGATTAATGGGAGGCTCCCATCAAAAAGAACCATAACAGCACGTGACTCCTGCACCGGCAACTGAGGTATCCAGGTTCTGTCACCAGAACTGACCAGGAAGCTGGCATGGAGAGGAAGGAAGAGCAGTGTGGTGCAGCAGCCCACCTGAGAGCCACATAGGGTAGGGGAGCCCCCACCCTCAGCCAAGGGAGGCAGTAAGTAAGCATGCTACCCAGCCTAGAAAAACATACTTTTTCCATGGAACTGTGCATTCCATGGATTGGAAGCTCCCACTTGTGAGCCCACACCACCAGGGCCTAGGGTCCCAACCACAGAGCTGTGCAGATTCTCAACAGCCACTGAGCTAGAATCTTCTTAAGCCTGCTGAGTTCCTGGGAGGAGGGGTGACCAGCACCACAGCTGTGGCTGTCTACTGTCTAAGCGCTTTGAGCTCATTGGGAGAGGGGCGACAGCCAATAACATGCTAAGCACCCAGAGTGGGGGAAGGGTGGCAGCCATCTTTATAGCTCCAGGTGGTGCTTTTCACCTGCTGGAGCCAGAGAGGCTGGAGGACTTTGTTCCAAGAGGTATCCCCCACAGCCCAACACACCGGCTGTGGCAGACTGCGGACAGAATGCCTCTTCAGGCCTGACCCTGACCCATCCTTCCTCACTAGGTGGGACCTCCCGAAACTCCAGTCAGAGGCTGAACTTCCGCAACTCTAGCCAGAGGCTCAAGGACAGAACTCTGATCCCCCGGGGTCTAAGCCCCTAAGGACTGGGGTGACTAGTCTCCATGGACCAGCAGACTTAGTCTTTCCTTCTGCTAGTTCTGAGGAATCCAAGCAGACCACATAAGTGAGTTTTCCCTCAGTGAAGCACACCCCCTCCACCAAGGGACAGTCAAAGTGCTTCATTAAATGGGTCCTGCTCCCCATGCCACCCAACTTGGTGGGACCCTCCAACAGGGGTTATCAGATACCTTGTACAAGAGTGTTCCTACTGGCATCAAGTTGCTGCCCCTTGAGGTCAGAGATCCCAGAGGAAGGAGCAGGCTCCCATCTTTGCTGTTCTCTATCCTCCTCGAGTGACATCTCCAGGCACAGAGGCAAATCAGATGAATAGGGCCTGAAGTGAACCCCAGCAAAGAGCAGCAGCTCTACAGAAGAGGGACCTGACCATTGCAAGAAAAACAAACAAACAGAAAGCAATAACATCAGCATCAACAACAAAAACGTCCCCATAAAAAACCACATCCAAGGGACAGCAGTCTCAAAGATCAATACTAGAAAAACTTATGAAGATGAGAAAGGTTCAATGAAATAACACTGAAAACCCAAAAGGCCAGAGTGCCTCTTCTCCTCCAAATGATCACTTTGCCTCTCCAGCAAGGGTGCAGAACTGGGTGGAGGGTGAGATGGACAAAGTGACAGAAGCAGGCTTCAGAAGGTGAATAACAACAAGCTCTGCTGAACTAAAGGAGCGTGTTCTAACTCAATGCAAAGAAACCTTGATAAAAGATTACAGGAGCTGATAACTAGAATAAAAAGTTTATAGAGAAACATAAATGACCTGATGGAGCTGAAAAACACAGAAAGAGAACTTTGTGAAGTATACACAAGTATCAGTAGTTGAATCAACTAAGCAGAAGAAAGGATATCAGAGTTGGAAGACGATCTTGTTGAAATAAGGCAGGCAGATAAGATTAAAGAAAAAAGAAAGAAAAGGAATGAAATGTCCGAGAAATATGGGACTATATAAAAAGACCAAACCTACAATTGATTGGAGTACCTGAAAGTGATGGGAAGAAAGGAACCAAGTTGGAAAACACATTTCAGGATATTATTCAGGAGAACTTCCCCAACCTAGCAAGAGAGACCAACGTTCAAATTCAGGAAATACAGAGAACACCACTAAGATACTACGTGAGAAGATCCACCCCAAGACACATAATTATGAGATTCTCCAAAAGTGAAATGAAGGAAAAAAAGTCAATGGCAGCCAGAGAGAAAGGCAAGGTCACCTACAAAGGGAAGCCCATGAGACTAACAGTAGACTTCTAAGCAGAAATTCTGCAAGCCAGAAGAGAGCGGGGACCAATATTCAACATTCTAAAAGAAAATATTTTTCAACCCAGAATTTCAGATCCAGCCAAACTAAGCTTCATAAGTGAAGAAGACATAAAATCCTTTCTAGACAAGCAAATGCTGAGGAGTTTCATTGCCACCAGGCCTGCCTTGAAAGAGCTCTTGAAAGAAGCACTAACTATGGAAAGGAAAAATTGGTACCAGTCACTGCAGAAACACACCAAAATATAAAGACCAATGACACTATGAAGAAACTACATCAACTAGTGTGCAAAATAATCAGACAGCATCATGATGACAGGATCAATTTCACACATAGCAATATTAACCTTAAATGTAAAATGGGCTAAATGCCCCCAATTAAAAGACACAGACTGACAAATTAGATAAAGAGTCAAGCCTGGGTGCGGTGTCTCACGCCTGTAAACCCAGCACTTTGGGAGGCGAGCAGATCACCTGAGATCAGGAGTTCAAGACCAGCCTGGCCAACATGGTGAAACCCTGTCTCTACTAAAAATACAAAAAAAAATTAGCCGTGTGTGGTGGCAGGGGCCTGTAGTCCCAGCTACTCAGGAGGCTGAGGCAGGAGACTTGCTTGAATCTGGGAGGCAGAGGTTGCAGTGAGCTGAGACTGCGGCACTGCACTCCAGCCTGGGCAACAGAGTGAGACTCTGTCTCAAAAAAAAAAAAAAAAAAAGAGTCAAGACCCATCAGGGTGCTGTATTCAGGAGAACCATCTCACATGCAAAGACACACATAGGCCAAAAGTAAAGGGATGGAGGTATATTTACCAAGCAAATGGAAAGCAAAAAAAGAGCAGGGGTTGCAATCCTACTCTCTGACAAAACAGACTTTAAACCAACAAAGATAAAAAAAGACAAAGAAGGGCATTACATAATGGTAAAGGGATCAATGCAACAAGAAGAGCTAACTATCCTAAATAAATATGCACCCAACACAGAAGCACCCAGATTCATAAAACAAGTTCTTAGAGATCTACAAAGAGGCTTAGATTCCCACACAATAATAGTGGGCAACTTTAACACCCCATTGTCAGTATTAGACAGATCAACGAGACAGAAAATTAACAAGGATATTCAGGACTTTAACTCAGCTCTGGATCAAGTCGACCTAACAGACATCTACAGAACTCTCTACCCCAAATCAACACAATATACATTCTTCTCAGTGCCACATGTCACTTATTCTAAAATCAACCACATAATTGGAAAAAAAACACTCTGCAGCAAATGCAAAAGAACTGAAATCATAACAAACAGTCTCTCAGACCACAGTGCAATCAAATTAGAGCTCAGGATTAAGAAACTCACTCAAAACCACACAACTACATGGAAATTGAGCAACCTGCTCCTGAATGACTCCTGGGTAAATAATGAAATTAAGACAGAAATCAGGAACTTCTTTGAAATCAATAAGAACAGAATCAAGAATCCAGAATCTCTGAGACACAGCTAAAGCAGTGTTGAGAGGCAAATTTATAGCACTAAATGCCCACATCTGAAAGCTAGAAATATCTCAAGTCAGCACACTAACATCACAATTAAAAGAGCTAGAGAAGCAAGAGCAAACAAATCCAAAAGGCAAGAAATTGCTAAGATCAGAGCAGAACGGAAGGAGATAGAGACATGAAAAACACTTCAAAAAAATCAATAAATTTAGTAGCTGTTTTTTTCAAAGAATTAAGTAAATAGATAGACCACTAGCTAGACTAATAACGATGAAAAGAGAGAAGAATCAAATAGACATAATAAAAAATGAAAAAGGGGATATCACCACTGACCCCACAGAAATGCAAACTACCACCAGAGAATACTGTAAACACCTCTACACAAATAAACTAGAAAATAGAGAAGAAATGGATAAATTTCTCGACAAATGCACACTCCAAAGACTAAATCAGAAAGAAGACAGATCCCTGAATAGACCAAAGACAAGTTCTGAAGTTCTGAAATCCAGGCAGTAATTAATAGCTTACCAACCAAAAAAAAAATAAATAAAAAACAGGACCAGGTGGATTCACAGCCAAATTCTACCAGAGATGCAAAGAGGAGCTGGTACCATTCCATCTGAAATTATTCCAAACAATTGAAAAGAAAGGACTCCTTTGTAACTCATTTTATGAGGGCAGCATCATCCATCCTGACACCAAAACCTGGCAGAGACACAACAAAAAAGAAAACTTCAAACCAATATCCCTGATGAACATTGATGCGAAAATCCTCAATAAAATACTGGCAAACCAAATCCAGCAGCACATCACAAAGCTTATTCACCACAATCAAGTCAGCTTCATCCCTGGGATGCAAGGCTGGTTCAACATATGCAAATCAATAAATGTAATCCATAACATAAACAGAACCAATAACAAAAACCACATGATCACCTCAATAGATGCAGAAAAGGCCGTTGATAAAATTCAACATCCCTTCAAGTTAAAAACTTTCAATATACTAGGTACTGATGGAACATATCTCAAAATAATAAGAGCTATTTATGAAGAACCCACAGCCAATATCATACTGAATGGGCAAAAGCTGGAGAAATTCCATTTGAAAACTGGCACAACACAAGGATGCCTTCTCTCCCCACTCCTATTCAACATAGTATTGGAAGTTCTGGCCAGGGCAATCAGGCAAGAGAAACAAATAAGGATATTCAAATAGGAAGAGAGACAGTCAAATTGTCTCTGTTTGCAGACAATATGATTCTATATTTAGAAAACACTATCATCTCAGCCCCAAGTCTCCTTAAGCTGATAAGCAACTTCAGCAAAGTCTCAGGATACAAAATCAATGTGCAAAAATCACAAGCATTCCTATATACCAACTATAGACAAGCAGAGAGCCAAATCATGAATGAACTCCCATTCACAATTGCAACAAAGAGAATAAAATACCTAGCAATACCGCTAACAAGGGATGTGAAGGACCTTTTCAAGGAGAACTACAAACCATTGCTCAAGGAAATAAGAGAGGGCACAAACAAATGGAAAAGCATTCCATGTTCATGGATAGGAAGAATCAATAATGTGAAAATGGCCATACTGTCCAAAGTAACTTACAGATTCAATGCTATTCCCATCAAAGTACCATTGACGTTCTTCACAGAATTAGAAAAAAAACTACTTTAAGTTTCATATGGAACCAAAGAAGAGCTTGTATAGCCAAGAGAATACTAAGCAAAAAGAACAAAGCTGGAGGCATCATGCTACCTGACTTCAAACTATACTACAAGGCTACAGTAACCAAAACAACATGGTGCCGGTACCAAAACAGGTATATAGACCAATGGAACAGAACAGAGACCCAAGAAATAACACCATACATCTACAACCATCTGATCTTCGACAAACCTGACAAAAACAAGCAATGGGGAAATTATCTCCTATTCAATAAATGGTGCTGGGAAAACTGGCTAGCCATATGCAGAAAACTGAAACTGGAGTCCTTCTTTACACCTTATACAAAAATCAACTCAAGATGGATTAAAGACTTAAATGTAGAACCCAAAACCATAAAAATCGTAGAAAAAAACCCAGGCTGTACCATTTAGGACATAGGCATGGGCAAAGACTTCATGACGAATATGCCAAAAGCAATTGCAACAAAAGCAAAAATTGACAAATTGGATGGAATTAAACTAAAGAGCTTCTGCCCAGCAAAAGAAACTATCATCAGAGTGTACAGGCAATCTCCAGAATGGGAGAAAATTTTTGCAATCTACCCGTCTGACAAAGGTCTATATCCAGAATTTACAAGGAAGTTAAACAAATTTACAAGGAAAAAAAACATCAAACAGTGGGCAAAATGTATGAATAGACACTTAAAAGAAGACATTTACATGGCCAACAAACATGAAAAAAAGCTCAACATCACTGATCATTAGAGAAATGAAAATCAAAACCACAATGAGATACCATCTCATGCCAGTCAGAATGGCAATTATTAAAAAGTCAAGAAACAATAGATGCTGTGGAGGCTGTGGAGAAACAGAAACACTTTTACACTGTTAGTGGAAATGTAAATTAGTTCAACTATTGTGGAAGACAGTGTGACAATTCCTCAAGGATCTAGAACCAGAAATACCATTTGACCCAGAAATCCCATTACTGGGTATAAAGCCAAAGGAATATAAATCATTCTACTATAAAGACACATGCACACGTATGTTTATTGCAGCACTTTTTACAATGGCAAAGACATGGAACCAAATCAAAGGCCCATCAATGATAAACTGGGTAAAGGCAATGTGGTACATATACACCATGGAATTCTATGCAGCCATAAAAAGGAATGAGATCATGTCCTTTGCAGGTACATGGATGAAGCTGGAAGCCATCATCCTCAGCAAACTAATACAGTAACAGAAAACAAAACACAGCATGTTCTCCCTCATGTGTGGGAGTTGAACAATGAGAACACATGGACACAGGGAAGGGAACAATACACACCAGGGCCTGTCAGGGGGTTGGCGGGCAAGGGGAAGGAGAGCATTAGGACAAATAGCTAATGCATGTGGGGCTTAAAACCTAGATGACGGGTTGTTAGGTGCAGCAAACCGCCATGGAACATGTATACCTATGTAACAAACCTACATGTTCTGTACTTGTATTCCAGAACTTAAAGTGAATAAAAAAACAAAAACAAAAACAAAAAACTAAAAAAGGTCAGGGAATGAGAGAGTGAAGACAGTAAAGTGCGCACAACCTGTCTGTTCAATTCCAGGGACTGGAATGTCAGAAATGAATACTATTTGTCTTTCTAGGAGGCCTCAGAGGCATTTCCACTGCTGATTTCTCCATCTGCTCTGCTTTCCTATTTCTCTTTGCACATTGACTTCTGGTGACTCCTGCCTACCATATGCTCCTCCAGAACTTTGATTTGCATGGCCTTTGGCTTTGTCTCCTGCCACCTCCTTCCAACCTCAACTCTGCCTGAGCTGTTAGCTCCAGGACTATCACCATCAGCCAGACTCAGCTTCTCATTATCCCAGTTCAGAACTACTAGAAAAGAGATTCTGATTGATTTGATTTGCCTGGGATAAGGTGTTGACTTCTGGTCCATGCACCTGTAACCAAGGTGAAGTCAGTCCCATGTAGTACCTGGTGCTGTTTAGGTAACTCCTCTCCCTTCAGCAGGGCTGCGGGTGAGAAGGGCATACAATTTTAAAGAATTGAGCATGATCTGGGCAGTTCCCCAAATGGGCTACTGAATCCTGTTACATGGCATTCTCTCAAATCATCAGTGGATGCTTCTGTGTCTAATAACATGATCATGATTACCATTGCCAGTCGAACCATAATAAAGTGTGGTGTTATATTATAGGCAACATATCAAGAGATGGCAGATTCAAGTACTGACTCAAATACAGAAGATAATGTTCATGGAGTAAAGTAGCACTACAGTAATACAGTAGAGAATGGTGTAGACTGTGGCAAAGCAAACAAAAATGATTATACAAAGGGGACAGCCCCTGCACACCATTAGCTGATAACTGTCATGCAGGAATGTGAGCTCCGTATTTGCCTGATCTTCTGATTTTACAAGAAGTTTAGAGCAGAGGTGTCAAGAAATGTAGATTGCGATGCAGAATTATAAAATTTTGATGCAAAATTGCTACCCAGACAGATGAAGCTTTCCTAAGATGACCAACCCCACATTCTAATAAGTAATAATTTTTAACATAAATATATATTAAAAACCTGAAGATTTGTCAGCATATAATTAGTTTTAAACTGAGAGAGTCTAAGGAGTGAGTGTGAATAGAGAGGCAAAGGGAACTTAGCCCATTCTAAAACGTAAGGAAGTAACAAACAGAAATAAATAAAAAGCACTTTTATCACCACTATAAAGGGCAAACAAAATAAGTCTGCAGAGAATCCAGTCCATAGGCTGTCTGTTTGACACCTCTGCTTTATTTATTTATTTATTTATTTATTTATTTTATTTATTTTTTTTTTTTTGATATTTAAAGAGGTCTTTTATTTAAATCATTGTGTCAGACACCTCTGCTTTAAACTTCACACTGGAGGACTTAAAGAAATGCCTAAAAAGCTACTCATTAGGGAAGACTTAGAATATTATTATTGTTATCCTTATTATTACAGCTAAGATGTTGTTCCAGGCATCATCCCAAGTATTTTAAATGTGAAATCCCATTTTATTTTTACAAAAACCCTAAGACAAAAGTAGTTACCCTTTTTACATTGGAGGAAAAAAGAGGATTTAAGGGGATTAGTAATTTGTCCAAATAAATGTCGACTCATTTAGTTTAGCAAATGTAGTTAGTGATGGGGCAGGAATCTGAGTTATCTTACCCAAAAACCTGCACCTTTGACCAGATTACTTAGGTGGCATTAAGCAATTTTTAGGATGCCTTCTGTCCCTAAGAATCCAGGATTTTCTTAATCTTCATTGAAGCTCATGAGATCCCCGAGTTCTTTTCTAGTTCAGAGTGGTCACATTAGGGGTCAAACCCTCTATAGAATGGCCTGCTATTTCACTTCTTTCCCAACTCTTCAGGGATCCGCTAGAATTCCTCTTGTGGGGAGGTCCCCCCTGAATAATTATGAGTACTTATGGTTTCAAAGAAATAACATTTTTCAGTATGATAATCACCACAAAATCTCCAGTTCCTTTACTTACTCTTTAAATGGTGGGGTGGGGGGGTATCTGTGAAAGAGTGGGGTTGGGGAACATAGTGTGAAATGGGAAGGAAGTGATTCATATACACATTTATGTATGATTCAGACAGAAGCTGACAGATGCTTAGAGAATCCTTTAGAAAATGGACAAAACCATAGAGCATTAAAAATGCTCTATGTTTAAAAATGTAAAGCTCTGTACAGTGGAGACCCAAGGAAATGTATGACCAGGAAAGGTAGCAGGAAGGTTTATTGGACCTATCCTCCTCAAGATGGCTGGCTCATCTGCTCTTTGCCCTGATTTGGACCTGCTAGCTCTAATTTTGCCTCTGATTTAGGCCATCAGTAATTAAATCACTGCCCCGGCTCTCTGTTGCTAAAAAAGAATTAGGTTTTAAAATAGATCACCTGCTTAGCTGATTCCTGTGGGTCTGGGCTTTTCATCCAATTCTGATAAGCTTTCTGCCACCCGTGGATCTCCTCTCCTCTATGTTCATTTAACAGGGAACGGAATCCTTGAAGCTCATTGGTGCAGCTCACAGCACTGAGTCACCAGGGGAGCTAAAACATATCCTAAGGATGTTCGGACCAGGAAGAAATGGGTTCAATCTTTCCACTGGACAGGCATGTAAACTGAGGTCCAGGAAACAGTATGACTTGGCAGCATGAGAGGAAGAATCTACGCCCTGAATCAGAGCCCAGCGCCCTTTCCAACTTTTTCCACTGCTTCTAGACGGCATTCTGTAAATATCCACCCTTGGAAGGAGGCAAAGGCTCATACTGCGGCATGATCCTTCATAAATGCTCTATTTGTTTGCCTTTATGCCAACATTAATTAATACTTATAGAGCACTTACTATGTGCCAGGCCCTTAGCTAAGAATCTTTCAAGTAATATTGTTACCTCATTCAATCTTCTCTGAAAATGCCCATGCTTCTGTTTTGCAAATAAGGAATCTGAAGCTCAGTGTAACTCAGTAATATGTTTAGTGGTGTGCAGTGAATAATGACAGGGCCAAAGTTTGAATCTAGGACTCTGACTCTCAAGCTGTCCTCTTAACCATATGTCGTGCCAAGGCTGATAAGTGCCATTTTTTAATCCCTCTGATAATTCACGTTGGCTGAGAGCCTTGACGTAAAAGTATGGTTCTTCTGACCAGCGGAATCAGCATCATGTGGGAACTTGTTAGAAATGCAAAAACCCAAGCCTCCACCCCAGGCTTACAAATCAGAATCTGCATTTTTTTTATAAGATGCCCAGAAAAGACAAAGTCAACACATTTCAAATTTGAGAATCATTGGCCTACGGGGCCTTCCACAGGGAAACATAAGGAAATGCTTTTCAAGAGCATTTAGTCAAAAATCCTGATTTCTTGAAATAGAAAAGGAGCCTTAAAGAGTGTTCACTGGGCCCAACTTCTAGATCCTTGACATCTAATGCATTTTTTGGGACAACAATACCGAGTGGATGATAAAAATAGGATATTTTTTCTGCATCCCCTCTTAGCCTCCCTACCCACAATCCCACCCCAAATACTAGGTAGTGGCAGAGAGCTGCAATTCTTGACTTCCAACCACTTTTGCCAAAGAGATCAACGGAACTGTATGCAGTTCATGGTCATCATCACACTCCATTTCTTAGATATGCTTATTAAATTCAGACCCAGCTAAGAAAATGGAAAAAAAAAACCCCACTATATTCAGAGAGTTGATATTTTTCCTCCTGTTAAATTGAGCTGTGGGAGGTATCATATGCTGAACTAGTACATTTAAAAAGACAAAAACCCTAATGTTTTAAGGAGTGTTTTTTCCCATTAACATGTTGCTAAGCAACATTTTTACAATATCAGCAGCTCTATAACTGCAAGCTGAATGAATGTCTGGAAACACAGAAAGAATTTAAAAAGCAGAGAAAGAGAATATTGCTCCTGTTAGTATATTTCCTTTGTTATTGGTGTTGGGACCATCTCAAACAAGTTAAACCACAGATGATGGAGCAACTTCTCCCAGTTTTGTTAACAATAATCATGTGATAACCACGAGAGTTGTGCCTTAATTTTAGTAATATAATTTTTATTAATATTTATATTATGAAATATTTTAAATGTATACAAAAATAGATGGTATAATGAACTCCTACATAACTATCAGCCGGCCAGCTTTAACAATTATCAACTCACAGCCAATCTTGTTTTGCCTATTTCTCCTGCTTGCTCCTGATTTGAAGCAACTCCCAGGCATCATATTATTTTATCTGAAAATATTTCAGTATTTATCTCAGACAGGTAAGCCTTTTTTTTTTTGAAGAAAAGCACAGTATCATTATCACACCTAAATCAAAAGTTAACACAATTCTTAAATGTTAGCAAATATATAGTCAATATTCCACTTTCCAATTATTTCATTTTCTCTTTTTACTATTTCAATAAGGATCCAAATAAAATCTATACCTTGGTTGATGTGTGCCTTAAATCTGTTTATATCTACAAGTTCCTCTCTATTCATCTCTCTTTTTTGCTTTCACTTCGTTTAATAAGCAACCCAAAACATTTGTCCTGTACAGGCTCCTGAAATCTAGATTTTGCAGCTTATATCCCTGGGTTTCTTGAAAAGTGGTCAGACCTAAAAGCTTTATCGGATTGAGGGCTGAAATTTTTTTTAAGCAAGATGAATTCATAAATAATATTATATTCTATCAAGAGGCATGTAAGTTCTGGTTGCCTTTTTTGTGGTGTTAGCAAACTTTTTATGATACATATATTGATCTATTAACTCATTAGAGATTGCAAAATGATGATACTCACTTATTAGCCAATATACTTCTATGAAGAAAAATTTACCTTTCCCATTTGTGTACCAAGTGCTATGATTCACATAAGAAAGACAATATAAATGCCTGATTCTTCCCGACTATTTACCAGTTTTCAAAATATTGATTTAGTAGCATCCTCCAATGGTGATAGGTCAAAGTTTGTTGTTTGTTTTTGGTATCATCATAGATTTGGACAGTTTTGATATCTTATATTTGGCCAGTGAGAGCCTCTTCAAATTGGCTTGTTTCTTTTTGTTTGTTTGTTTCTTGTTTTATTTTGTTTTTTGTATTAACTGTAACAAAACAAGCTAAGCACAATGCTTTCTTTTTTCTCTTTCAACTTTTGTTTTAGGTTCAAGGGGTGCATGTGCAGGTTTGGTATATGGATAAATTGTGTGTCACAGGGATTTGGTGTACAGATTATTTCATCATCTATATCATAGTGCCTGATAGGTAGTTTTTTTTAATCCTCACCCTCCTACCACCCTCCACCTCAATTAGACCCCAGTGTCTGTTGTTCCCTTGTGTCCATGTGTACTCAATGTTAGCTCCCAATTATAAGTGGAAACATGCAACATTTGGTTTTCTGTTCCTGTGTTAATTTGCTTAAGATAATGGCCTCCAACTTCATCTATCTTGCTGCAAAGGATATAATCTCATTCTTTTTATGGCTGCATAGTATTCCACAATGTATATGTACCATCATTTCTTTATTTAGTCCACTGTTGATGGGCACCTTGGTTAATTCCACGTCTTTCCTATTGTGCATTGTGTTATAATGAACATATACATGCATGTGTCTTTATGGTAGAACAATTTATGTTTCTTTGGTTTACACCCAGTAATGGGATTGCTAGGTCAAATGGTAGTTCAGTTTTAAGTTCTTTGAGAAATCTCTAAACTGCTTTCCACAGTGGCGGAACTAATTTACATTCCCACCAGCAGTGTGTAAATGTTCCCTTTTCTCCTCAACCTGGCCAGCATCTATTATTTTTTGACTTTTAATAATTGTCATTCTGACTGGTTGAGATGGTATCACATTGTGGTTTTGATTTGCATTTCTCTAATAATTAGTGATATTGACATGTTCCCATGTTTGTTGGTCACAATTACATCTTCTTTTGAAAAGTGTCTGATCATGTCCTTTGCCTATTATTAACAGAGTTGTTTGTTTCTTGCTTGTTGATTTCTTTAAGTTTCTTATAGATTCTTAAACATTATTAGACCTTTGTTGGACACATAGATGGCAAGTATTTTCTTACATTCTGTAGGTTTTCTGTTTATTCTGTTGATAGTTTCTTTCACTGTGAGGAAGCTCTTTAGTTTAGTTAGATCCCATTTGTCAATTTTTTTCTGATCCTTTTTTGGCTAAGATCTTCAACAATTTTTTCTATTTCATCTATATATTACTTATCACTTTAGACTTTCTATATTTATTAAGGTCAATTATGATAAGTTGTATTCTTCTTAAAAATTACCCATTTCACCTTGAAGAAGTCCTTCATATCCCTTGTAAGTTGGATTCCTAGGTATTTTATTCTCTTTGAAGCAATAGTGAATGGCAGTTCACTCATGATTTGGCTCTCTGTTTGTCTGTTATTGGTGTATAAGAATGCTTGTGATATTTGCACATTGATTTTGTATCCTGAGACTTTGCTGAAGTTGCTTATCAGCTTAAGGAGATTTGGGGCTGAGACAATGCAGTTTTCTAAATATACAATCATGTCATCTCAAACAGGGACAATTTCACTTCCTCTTTTCCTAATTGAATACTCTTTATTTATTTCTCCTGCTTGATTGCCCTGGCCAGAATTTCCAACACTACGTTGAATAGGAGTGGTGAGAGAGGGCATACCTGTCTTGTACCAGTTTTCAAAGGGAATGCTTCCAGTTTTTGCCCATTCACTATGATATTGGCGGTGGGTTTGTCATAAATAGCTCTCATTATTTTGAGATACGTCCCAAACCACTGCTCAACGAAATAAAAGAGGACACAAACAAATGGAAGAACATTCCATGCTCATAGATAGGAAGAATCAATATCGTGAAAATGGCCATACTGCCCAAGGTAATTTATAGATTCAATGCCATCCCCATCAAGCTACCAATGACTTTCTTCACAGAATTGGAAAAAACTACTTTAAAGTTCATATGGAACAAAAAAAGGACCCGCATTGCCAAGACAATCCTAAGCCAAAAGAACAAAGCTGGAGGCATCATGCTACCTGACTTCAAACTATACTACAAGGCTATAGTAACCAAAACAGCATGGTACTGGTACCAAAACAGAGATCTAGACCAATGGAACACAACAGAGCCCTCAAAAATAAAACTACACATCTACAACCATCTGATCTTTGACAAACCTGACAAAAACAAGAAATGGGGAAAGGATTCCCTATTTAATAAATGGTGATGGGAAAACTGGCTAGCCATATGTAGAAAGCTGAAACTGGATCCCTTCTTTACACCTTATACAAAAATTAATTCAAGATAGATTAAAGAATTAAATGTTGAACCTAAAACCATAAAAACCCTAGAAGAAAACCTAGGCAATAGCATTCAGGACATAGGCATGGGCAAGGACTTCATGTCTAAAACACCAAAAGCAATGGCAACAAAAGCCAAAATTGACAAATGGGATCTAATTAAACTAAAGAGCTTCTGCACAGCAAAAGAAACTACCATCAGAGTGAACAGGCAACCTACAGAATGGGAGAAAATTTTTGCAATCTACTCATCTGACAAAGGGCTAATATCCAGAGTCTACAAAGAACTCAAACAAATTTACAAGAAAAAAACAAACAACCCCATCACAAAGTAGGCGAAGGATATGAACAGATACTTCTCAAAAGAAGACATTTATGCAGGCAACAGACACATGAAAAAACGCTCATCATCACTGGCCATCAGAGAAATGCAAATCAAAACCACAATAAGATACCATCTCACACCAGTTAGAATGGCGATCATTAAAAGGTCAGGAAACAACAGGTGCTGGAGAAGATGTGGAGAAATAGGAACACTTTTACACTGTTAGTGGGACTGTAAACTAGTTCAACCATTGTGGAAGACAGTATGGCAATTCCTCAAGGATCTAGAACTAGAAATACCATTTGACCCAGCCATCCCATTACTGGGTATATACCCAAAGGATTATAAATCATGCTGCTATAAAGACACATGCACATTTATGTTTATTGTGGCACTATTCACAATAGCAAAGACTTGGAACCAACCCAGATGTCCATCAATGATAGACTGGATTAAGGAAATGTGGCACATATACACCAGGGAATACTATGCATCCATAAAAAAGGATGAGTTCATGTCCTTTGTAGGGACATGGATGAAGCTGGAAACCATCATTCTCAATAAACTATCGCAAGGACAAAAAACCAAACACCGCATGTTTTCACTCATAGGTGGGAATTGAACAATGAGAACACATGGACACAGGAAGGGGGACATAACACACCGGGGCCTGTCGTGGGGTTGAGGGAGTGGGGAGGGATAGCATTAGGAGATATACCTAATGTAAATGACGAGTTAATGGGTGCAGCACACCAACATGGCGCATGTATACATATGTAACGAAACTGCACGTTGTGCACATGTACCCTAAAACTTAAAGTATAATTTTTAAAAATTACCCATTTCATCTAGATTTTTAAATGCAATGAGAGGATTGTGCAAAATAGTCTTTAGTGACTTTAAATGTCCTCTGTTTTAAAGAGTATTTCTTCTTTGTCATTTCTAACTTTAAGTGTTTATTCTCCTTTTTATTACTTAGGTTAGCTAGTGCTTTGTATATATTTACTTTTGTTTTCAAAGAATCAGCTTTGGGTTTGCTTATTAATTCTGATCTTCTCTGTGTTTTCTTTTTAACTTTTATTTTAGGTTCAGGGATACATGTGTAAGTTTGTTATATAGATAAATTCATGTCACAGGGGTTTGTTGTACAGACGATTTCATCACCCAGGTACTAAACCTAGTACTCAATAGTTATTTTTTCTGTTTCTCTCTCTCCTCCCACCCTTCATCCTCAAGTAGATCCTAGTATCTGTTGTTCCTTTCTTTGTGTCCATGAGTTCTCATCATTTAGCTGAATTTCACTCTTCTCTGTTTTCTGATGGAATTCTGCTTTTATGAATTTCTACTGTTTTCTTTTGGTCAACTTGTTTTTTCCTTTCTAGAATTTGAATTAAGTTTCTAGTTTATTTATTTTCAGAATTTAGTTTTTAATATTATGTGTATTTAATGCTCTAAAATTTTTCTCTAATACTTTTTAGCTGCATGCCATAAATCCTGATTTTTAAATTTTGCTTTTAATACTGTTAATTTTCAAGCCAGTCTGTGAGCCAAGAGTTGTTTAGTAACATATTTTTTCTTTCTTTTAATTTTCAGGTAAAGGGCCTTTCTAATTTGGTTTTGTTATAATTTGTTTTAGCCCACTGCATCTAGAGAATGCTTTTTGTATTATTACTAGTCTTTGGTAGTCGTTAAGTTTATATGTATGACCTATGATATGATCCATTTTTATGAACATTAAATGTACACTTGAAAAGAAACTATATTCTATATTATCTGGGTTCATAGTTTGATATTTGTAAGATCTATCTCATTGACTATGTTATTTACGTCTTCTAAATTCCTACTCATTTTCAGGTCATTTGATTTATCTCAGATTAAGAGAGATGTGTTAAAATCTCTCATAATTACCATGTCTGTGTCAATTCATCTTTGTATCTTTTGTAGCTTCTGCTTTATGAAATGATTGCTGTACTACTGAGAATATAAATATTAATAACTGACACACCTTAATTGTGAATTGTAATTGCTGTCATTAGAGGCTCCATTCTTGCTAATACATATATATATATTTTTTTTTTTCCCTTGTTAGAGAAAAATGTCACAACCTCTTCTTTGTTTTTGTTTGCATTTGCCTTGTCTACTTTATATTATTCCTCTCCAAATATCTTCATTTTAGATTTGTCTATTGTATGCAGCAGCATTTTATTTTGCTAACCAGTCAGAAAATTGTGTTATTTTCTTCTCTTACTAAGTTGATAAGTCCAGTTACCTTTATTGATAAATTGACCAACTGAAGCACCTTTCCAGAACTGAGAAAAATGTCTGGGAGAAACATCCAAATTTATTATAACAGGTATAATAGGACAAAGGGAAATTTAGAAATCCAGATGAAATAAGAGAAGGGCAACAAAGGAAGATCTTAGAAAGTACAAGATCATATGTGAGTGTGTGTGTGTATGTGTGTGTGTGCATGTGTGTGTGTTGCAAAAATAGCAGAAGGAGCTGTAACTTAATAAAGATAGAAAAGGAATCCTGTTCCACTCTTCCTTCCTAAAAATCTTTTTTAAGACATGATCAGTGTCTTCTTCTGCCACTGCTTTTTCCGAAACCTTAATTAATCAAACCATTAAAATAAAAATACTTCCCAGGCGTCTACTCTCTGATTATAATACAAACACTACTCCTTTTAGTTAGCTCCCATCAAAAAGGGATCAGAGAAAGTGTTTTGTAGGTGCGGAATAGTATTTGTCTTCTAATGTTCTCTGTACTTATTTCAAAAAACATTGCTTCCACAAAATGTTTGGCTTCTGAGCAGTTCTTATACTTCAGAAATTCTTATTCATTACTCTATAAGTTTTTCAGCAACTAATCCCTTTATGCTGCTGCAACAGCCACTAACAACTATCATTTGAAAGTTTACTACATCTCTCAGCACATGTTTAAGTTCCTTAGATAAATTATCCAAATCAATAACATGTTGAATCAGATAATATTATTATCTTTATTTTACAAAAGAAGAAACTAAACGCATAGAAGTTTTAAAACTTGCCCAAGGTCATGCTCCTGGTAAGTGGTTTGAACCCCAGTCTGTCTGGTTCCAGAATCAGATCTCTTAACGTTTAAATTAAATTGATCTGTGTTTGTACTAAATAGTTGGTAGTATGTTTGAGATGGCGGAGTATTAGCCACACTTTCAGATGATAACACCGGCTCATACAATTGATGCCATTCATCCAGTATCACAGAGTACTATGGGAGGAAGTAGATTTTCAGAGTCTTAATACAACATTGCTTTCCTTAGAGTACAGCAGCTTAATAAATATTCATTTAAGGAACATGGAAGCAGATTTTTTCAGATAAGAGAGGCCCTTCTTCATCATTAGATTTTATTATATCGATTTTTAACTCCCCCACCCCTGCACTTATCCAGTGTCAGTTTGTTTATTTAATTTAGCCAAAGGGCACAACCGTTAAAACAGGAGGTTTCCAAGTAAAACACACATAAAAGACCGAATGGGAACACAAATGAGTAAAATAGCCTTAGTAACATCTTCAAACTAAACATCTAAAAGCAGGCACCTGCTATTTGGCTCTAGCCAATTGCTGCAAAGTGGAACTATAGGCCTCTGTCTTATAGAATCTTCCAGTTTTTTCATGAAAAATCACAAATCTAGATTTGATTATTAAATGTTCACACTTTCAGATGATTGACATCTAAATCAAAAACTCTGTTGTCTAATAAAAAAGCCCTGCAATCTCATGTCCTGCCAGTTCTTGGCATGTTCCTTAAAGAAATATATATGAATGCTTTTATGATCAGTAGAAGGAAAAAAATCAAGATGAGAAGAGTGGTATAACCAAAAGCTTTCATGCTTTCACTGAACTTATCATATACCTGTATTGGGGCTGGCTGATTAAATATAATGGTGAATAAACCAGAGAACATTGCTGCCCTAGTGAAACTCACAGTTTAAAGTGGAAAACAGACAAGAGAACAGAAATTACAGCATGGTGAGGCAAGTCACAGCAGCGGGTACTTCAGGGGCCTGTGGAAACTCGATGAAGGGGCAAATAACATGGGCCTAATGAGTACCAGAAGTTTTTCTGGAAAAAGTAGCATCACAGCTGAGACTTACAAGAATAAGCAGAACTATTAATAAGTATGGAGTTTGTATTATATTCTAGACATGCTGCTAATTCATTTAATTTTCCTAACACTCTATAGAGAAGTTTTTTTCTTTTCTTTTCTTTTCCTTTCTTTTCTTTTCTTTTTTTTCTTTTTTTTTTTTTTTTTTTTTGAGACAAAGTCTCGCTCTGTTGCCGGGTTGGAGCGCAGTGGCACCATCTCAGCTCACTGCAACCTCCACTTCTCAGGTTCAAGCGATTCTCGTGCCTCAACCTCCCAAGTAGCTAGGATTACAGGTGCCCGCCACCACACCCAGCTAATTTTTGTATTTTAGTAGAGACGGGGTTTCACCATGTTGGCCAGGCTGTTCTCCAACTCCTGACCTCAGGTGATCCCCCCTTCTTGGCCTCCCAAAGTGCTTGCATTACAGGCGTGAGCCACCATGCCTGGCCTACGGAGAAGTTTTATTATTGTTATGTACATTTTACAGATGAAGAAATTTAAGTAACTTGCTCATGATTACTTGAACCCAACCCAGGGCTCAAATTAGATTTGATTTGAGGGTGTCTGACTCCAAAATCCAGGCACATTATTTATAACAATAGTAGCAAGGATCATATATTTATTGAATACTTACTATGTGCTAGTCATTGTTCTAAGTATTCTACCTTGATTGATTTCTCATTTGTTTTTCATGACAATCTTATCAGGTACTGTGATTATTACTGTTTTCTGGTTGAGGAACTGAGAAAAGTTCAGCAAATTTCCCATAGTGTTACATAGCTATTAGGTGTAAGACCTGGGACGTGAACTAAGGAAGTTTGAGTACTTTTAGCCACTAGGCAAGGAGACTGTGGGCAGGATGAGGGTGTTGAGTGTTCTGAGTAAAAGGAAGCCCATATATGCAGACATGAAAGTAAGAGAAAACATGTCCTATAGACGGAATTTAAAAAATAGTATGGCTAGACCTGACAAGAAAAAGTTATGAAATATTGCTTGACATTCAACTTGGGTACAAAACTGAAAGCTTATAGTGATTGGTATGCTTTTTGTATTAAGTGCTTGGAGACCTTAACTGTCAGATGGAAACAGCTGATGGGGTACCAGTTCCAGCTTCATTCATTCCATCTGCTGATGTGCCTAGGAAAACTATCTTTCTCTTCCCAATGGGCAGGGGTATGACGTTCTCCAAAATACTTGTAAATTGGAGTCTGGTTTCTACGAGTCTAGGCTAGAAAAGGCATCATTTCCTAACAACAAGGCTCCTGATTTTTGGTTAATTCCATTTAGCCAGTGCTTCCTCCCTATCATCCCACCTCCTTCTCCAGGGAACATTTAGTTCCCCAAATTGAAAGCACCATTGTAAAAGGCAGGGTTCTCATCCAGGAAATTTTGAAACATAATGCTCCAGCTTCATTTGACAACACTAGGAGCTTGTCAGCATGTGGTCCATTTGGGGATTATTTTTTTCTTCTGTGTGCAGCATTTTAAAAATGTAAAAGAGAACAAACCCAATGGAGAAGGAGGAGGAAAATGAAAACCTATTCTTACCCCTTGCATAATAGAGGCAAGACTCAAGAAGACTTGTTAAAAGAGGATAAAGCAGATTTTCCATTCTATGTGTGGTTCTGATGTTTCAAAGATTGCATGTAATATTTCTATAAAGACGAGGAAACAGACTGGCGTTATCAATCAGGGGTCAGGTAAACAGGCATCTGCCTGGCTCTACTACTGATCTGCTTGGCACTGGTTGGAAAATAGACTCATTTTTTAATATAGCTTCTGGTTTTTAAAATTGTTATTATTTCGTATCCCATTTGCCTATACTTTGGGGGGAACTGGACTTATTTTTGATTCATCATTGCTGCCCTCTCCTCCAGTGCAAAACATTGCTGAACCAGAGTATCTCTTAGGTCAACCTCAAATATTCAGTGGCTCTATAACTTCAGCAGAGAAAAAAAAACAGGCTATAGCTGTTTGTGGAAAAGAAAGTTTGAAATAAACAAAAAAAATTGTATAAAACATCGAATTTCTGGCCATAGTACACATTGAACATTCAATTAACTTCTTATCTGGCTGCTTGGCATGGAGCCTTTATTTGTAAATCAATTTTTCCTGAAGGTGGAGTGAATTGAAGATTCAATTTTAATCATGCAAAAACCTGAGTATTCTTAGTTATAAATTCTCTACTGAACTCCGAGGGAAGCCGTCTGTCTCCCTTAGTAATATGGAGCCAAGTTGAAGGAACAGGAGGTGACAGAGCTGGGTTGGGTCTGCATAAGCAGTACTGACTGTCTATGATTAAGCAGCCTGTCTTTTTAGTCGCTACATTTTGCCTGAGGAGACCATGAATGGGGTGTCTAATGACCCAATTTCTATGATGCTATAGAGGTAGTGTCCATACACTCAAACTAACAGTAGCTAATATGTGGTGGGGCTCACTATGTGCCAGGCACTCTGTTAAGCTCCTTATTTTTATTAATTTATTTGATCTGTGTAATAACCCTATGAAAAAAGTACTGCTATATTTTATGTTTTATAGGTAAGGAAATTGAAGCTGGAATGCTAAATAATGTTCTCCAGTTGAATAATTAAGTGGTCAAGCCATTCGTTCTTTTATTCAACAACTATTTAGTGCTTACTGTGTGATCAGGCATCCTTTAAGGCAGTTGGGATAAACCAGTGAATAAAATAAACAAGGATGCCTATCCTCAAAGAGTTTACATTAGAGTGGGGATAGATAAACCATATACAATGAACACAAGAAATAAGTTTAAAAAATTGCATACTAGAAGGTGATTAGTGCTACAGAAAAAAGGAAGGATCAGGTTAAGGAGGATCTAGGAGTACTGAAAAAAGCCAGAGACTAGGTTAATTGTTGCCATTGTAAAATGACCCAAGTAGGGCGATATGGTTTGGCTTTGTGTCCCCACCAAATCTCATCTCAAATTGTCATCCTCAGGTATTGAGGATTGTGGGAAGGACCTGGTAGTAGAAGGTGATTGAATCATGGGGGCAGTTTCCCACATGCTGTTCTCATGATAGTGAGTGAGTTCCAATCAGATCTGATGGTTTTATAAGCGTTCTTCCTTTGTTGGCTCTCTCTCTGTCTCCTGCCATCTTGTGAAGAAGGTACCTGCTTCTGTTTCCGCCATGATTGTAAGTTTCCTGAGGTCTCCCCAACCATGTGAAACTGCGAGTCCATTAAGCCTTTTTTCTTTATAAATTACCGAGTCTCAGGTATTTCTTTATAGCAGTGTGAAAATGAACTAATACAGAGGGCTAAAGGGGTAAAACATAGGAGGAAGCTGCTTCTCCTCCTAGTTTTCCTGAAAGTAGAGCATGACAAGGACTGGGTAGAGATAGTTTATATTTAAGAAAGGATCTCAGGGGAGCAGGAGTGAGAAAGTGAGAAGAATGAGATGAGAAAGGGAAGAAAAGCCAAAAATTGATGCATCATGAAGGCTATTGACTGTAAGCAAAAAGGGCTTGATTTGTCTTATGAGAAGAATTCAGAATTCCTCTCAGAATGTACATCTGAAGGCCAGAAAGTTGGGGTAGTTAGCCAATTACATTGGTTGAGGATTTTCTCTAGGAGTGTTAACTCGCTTTAATTTCTGTGCTGCAGTTGAATATAGGCTAAGTGTATCCTGTGGCTTGAGAGAGAGCCCTGAAGCACAAAAGCTAAACGACAATGGCAAGCCCTCTCATGGAACACTGTCAGCATGCTGGGCTCTATCCATCACAGTGTAGCTGAAATAAAAAGTGAGTCAAGGGCGTGTGAGGCAGGGTACATAAAAGATCTATTATCTGCATCTTTTTTCTCTCTCATGACTCTATCTGGCAGAATCTAAGAGAAAGTCATTGGCAAGGGACTCTGGGATGTACAGCTTTAAGATTATTGGTATCAGCACCAGTATCAATGAGCAGAGTTTCAAAGAGTAAATTTGAAAGTGAGAGTCATTAGATGAATAAACAGCACAATATGTAAGTGGAGATGCTGAATAGCCCATTGGATGTGCACATCAAAAGAGAGGTCTTAGATGGGGTATATATCAGAATATAGATGGTATTTAAAGCCAAGATAGGATGAGAACACTAAAGAAGCAGATATAGATAGAAAGAGCAGTGTGTATAAAGAATGAGCACTCTATCATTAGGAGGATGGGAAGAAGAGAAAAAAAACAATAAAGGTTATTGAAGAATGGTCAACAAAGTAGAAGGAAGACCAAGAGAGGGTTGTGCCCTAGAGTAGGGGAAAAGTTAGATTTGACCAGGTTGCATTTTGCTAGACCATAGAAAGAGAAAAATGAATCAAGAGACTGATTGTAACAATTGATATAGGATAAGGAGGATAGTGAAGCCATCAACAGAAAGGATAGAGGTAATCTGATAGAATCCATGGATTGGAGAACATAGTAGAGTTGAAGGATTATTGGGGTCAATATTAGAAGCTGTGAGTTAAAAAGAGAGAAGATGGTCAGGGAGAGCGATGCATGAAATGAAAATAATGGAAAGTTTATTAGTCATACATTGAAATTAGAAAATCTGGCTCCAGAAACTAATTCATTGAATTGTAATGACTTTTTGGCTTGGGTTTTCTTAGTAACTGCCTCGGTTCTGACCTATGTCGACTCTGCAACTTTAGACTCAATATAAATTAGCTAAGCTAATAACACATCTATGTGAAACAATATTATACTGTAAGATACAGAAAGGAATATCATGTATTTTATCACTTCTCAAGATGGAGGAGATTTCATGCTCATTTTTACCTAAGTCCCTGTTATTACTTTTAATGACCTTGGATAATTGCCAGGGAAATTCTGTGGTTCTAGCTGAAATATAATTTTACAATGAATTCAAAATGCTTCATTTAAAAAGGAAGCCAGTTTCAAGGCTCCAAAAGAATGAACATACTGCTGCTTTTGATAATTCAGGAACTCATAGTTCTGTTGCAAACTGGTGTTAAGTGAGTTAAAGATTAAAAAACAGATTTTGCTGTTTCCCCTTTCTCTCCAGCCCCAGAGTTTATTGCAGCAGCCTCTAACTGGTTTCTCTTTCTGTAGCTTTTTACTCATTGCAGCTCATCTAGCTCTCAGTTTCTTCAGGTGCAGTTTTATCATTTCATTTTCTCTTCTGAAACTTAAATAGCTTCCAGTGGTTTAAAAATATAATTCAAATATCTTAGTTTGGTATTTGAGGCCATTCATGACCTAATCCCAGCCTAGCCTTTTTTTTTTTTTATCATGACTGACTTAATACTGTCTATATTTCATCCAAACTTAAGTTTCTGACATTCTTAATTTATGGCAAACATTTTCCTAATTTGATGACTATTCATATTTTTTCCATCTGCTAGGAAGTTCTTTTCTCTGCCTCTTCAAATACTTAATTTCAATATACTATTTGAGAACCAGTGAAAGTTCTTTTCTCCATCCTTTTACGATAATCTCAGCTGGAAGTGACCTTTTCTACCATAGATGACCCTTTGTTATGTACTCCATACTTCTTCTGTGACACATGGTTTAGGAAGAAATTCCATTATTTATAGGTCATTGAATTTCTATAAAAGAAAGTCCACTTTACATTTCTCTCAGATCTTGAGAGGGGACAGAGGTGAGTTGGTGCTGACAAAAGCTTAAAGTTCATGAATGGGAAAGATGAATAACCCAAGATATTACAAGGAAGGGTGGGACACAGACAGGACGATGATGATGGTGCATAACTTGAAGATTCGCCAGGTAAAGAATTTCTTCCCTAATTATGGAAGCAATTCATTTTTATCAGCAAATATTTCTGGAATATCCACACATTCTAGGCAGAAAACAAGCAGAAAAAGAAATACGCTCTCTGACCTTATGAAGATTAAATTACAAACAGGTTGGAGGTTTGATGTGATACCCAACCTCAGTTTTCGCGATTCCCTAGAGGGCTCTCAGGACACAGAAAGGCTGCCACAGTCATTATTACAGTTTATTATATCTAAAGAATACAGATTAAAATCAGCAAAGGTAGATGGCATGGCAAGAAACCAGGTGCAGGCTTCCAAGTGTCTCCCATGGAGGAACACAGACAGGACTTAATTTTCTGAGAAACTATGTGTGATAACATGTACAAAATATTGCCAACCAGAGAAGCTCTCCTGAGCTTTGGTGTCCAAGTTTTTTATTGGAAGTCAGTTACATAGGCATGGGGCACCTCTATGACTGACCCTTAGCTACTCATTCTTTAATGCCACCCCGTAAAAGGTCAAATTTATACAGCAAGGCACAAAGCCTCAGGTGAGTAAAAGCAGGCATTCACCATAAATCACATGAGTAGCATACACTATCAGGCCTGGGACAAATTCCCAGGAATACAGTGATACCCTTATCAGATAGAATATTCCAAGGGCTTAGAGGTTTTCTTCTAGGAGCTAGTGAAGAGTCAGTTCTGAAGACCTTTGGAGCATATAGGGTTTGGGAAACCCAGGCATGCTAAATTAAGCCTTTATTGCACATTTACATAGTCATAAGACAAAAATATTTGATAAAGTAATGGGTTCCTAAGGTTTATGAGCATGAATACAGGTAGGGTGTGAGTTTGTATATTAGAATCCCCAATGGAGTTTAAGTAAAATCTGTAATTTTTAAGAACTTCCTCTTCTGATTCTAATATTTACTCTTCGTAGGAGGACCCTGAACATAGTGAGGTATTTACAAGCCCAACTTCTGGAGTCAGATTACTCATGTGGAATCTTATCTTTGCTATTTACTAGCTGTTAAGCTTTTGACAAGTCATTTCCACTGTCTTCATTTCCTTACCTAAAAAATGAGACTAGTAATAGCATGTGTATTTTAGGGTTTTTAAGAATTAAAAGAGTAATATATATTTAGAACAGTGTCTGAGCTATATAGTAAAAGCAATGTAAATGTCTACTGTTATCTTAAAAATTTCCTACTCTAATAGTCTAGTATCTTAGTAATCAGAACTACAAGAATGGACTCTGGATAGTTAACAAGCCCGCCTTGTTTCCTTTTTTGATGGATGCCAATTATGCTTAGAATTGGATAGTTAGATAACAGGAGGAGATCCTATGGTTAAACACTTGCTTAGCAACCCTTGATTGTGACTAACACTTGAGAAGACTGCTCATCTTTGGCCATTAACATCCCACTATAGTTTAACATGTAGTAATACACTTTTGCAGAATCATCCATTTCGTAAGTTGAAAGCCAGCTAATAGCTCTGATTCAAATAAATCCCCTCTTGACCAAAAAATAGACTAATATTTTAGGATTTAATAGTTATTCAATTGCAAGTTAAATTACTGACAACATATAAAGTGATAGCTACTAGGGCTGACATGTTGCCTGGAACACTTCAGATAGATTGCTACACACACAAAAGTGTTTCAGTCTCAAATAGAACCCCCAGGATATTCTGGGCTTCTAATAGATGTTTTTTTTCTAGGGCAGGCACAGTGGCTCATGCCTGTAATCCCAGCACTTTGTGAGGCTGAGGTGGGCAGATCACTTGAGCTTAGGAGTTCCAGACCAGCCTGGGCAATATAGTGAAACCCCATCTCTACAAAAACATACAAAAATTAGTTGGACATGGTGGCAGGCACCTGTAGTCCTAGCTAAGTGAGAGACTGAGGTGGGAGGATCACTTGAGCCCAGTAGGTGGAGGTTGCAGTGAGCCAAGATGGTGCCACTGCACTCCAGCCTGGGCATAAAAATTAGTCCCTGTCTCAAAGAAAAACAAACAAACAAAAGGAACAATGGTTTTTTTCTAAACTTTTTTATAGAATGTCATATCAAAGAAAAAACTATAAATTGTATATGAACACTACTATTTTAATATACCATGTATCATAAAATATTTGAAATGTTTTAGAGGATATAATTAAACTATTGAAATAGAGATTATAGAATAAAAATGACAAATAAGATTTAACTTTATATTATGTATTATTGGTATAAAATGTGATAAAATGATGCTTTATTATTTCTTTAAAATATTTTTCTAATACTTTATGGTAAACCAATGTGAAACTTTAGTTCTAAGTTCCATATATCTATTTATGTCAATACTTAAATAGCTGAAAAAAGAGTCTCACAAAGACATGATTCTCTGTAACTTGACTGATTGAGAAAATAGCTCAAGTTATACTAATTGATTTTATTTTTAGTTATCCACACAAAGTCAGGGACTATCTTAACTAGTCTGTTTTTAATAAGAGTTTGTTTCTTACTTTCAAGAGAGTCTCTAAACATGAATACAGAAAAATACCCTCCTTGATATCAAGTACCTTCCAGCTACACTTTACATATTCTGTTACCTGCAATCCCCAGTGAACACAAATTTAGGTTCCTCCTGAAGCTCAAATTTGACTGTCACTTCTCTTCACTATGTGGTGGTCAAGTATGGGCCACACAACACTGGTCTAAGATTTATTGCATTCTATTGTGAAAAAAAGGAAATAAAACTGTAGGTGGCCACAGCACTTACAAAAGACAATATGTTCTCATATAAACAAATTAATTGTGCCAACCTGGGAAGTAGATAGAAATACTTGGCTGAAAATATTCTAGATGCATATCTTTATGTTGTATTTCAGTGATTCTCAAAGTGTTGTCTTGGGACCAGCAGCTTTAACATAACGTGGAAACTTGGTAGAAATGCAAATTCTCAGATCCCACTTTAGACCTGCTAAAACTGAAGCTCTGAAGATGGGACCCAGCCCTTTGTGTTTTTAACAAGTCCTCCAGGTGATTCTGGTACATGCTAAACTTTCAGAACCATTGCTTTAGTATGTCTTCATGATATATATGCTTATTTTTAAAATTTCTGCTAATCATGATGACTTCCCATATTGTTGGTGGTTCTCTCAAGGTACCATTTACACATAGGGCAAAGTTCATAGTTTTAGATGGAGGATAATAGTTGGGAAATTACCCCAGGTAATTTCCAACATACAGCCAAGGTTAGAGAATGATGCCACATGAAGTCACTTACTCATTCTTATTAGATAGAACCACATAAAAGGATGTAAGAAAATGGTGGCTATTCAGGCAAAGAATAAAAAATAGCATTTAAGCATCATTTCAAAGTCCACCATTTTGGCTACTATCATTTAAATTAGGGAAGTTAAACCTGAAAGTGATGATAACAAATCAGAGAATCCCTGAAAGTATCAGGATATATTTGTTGACTACTTTCTAAAATATATTCTTTGCAATGGTTATTCTGTGGGATATATTATCAAAAGAATCCACAATGTTGTTAGTTTGGGAAACACCATCAAACAGGTCTCTTCACTGTTTGTTGTAGGATTTCTTAGAGACTTCCATATTGTTAATATCCTAGAAAAGGATTATAGCATACAGTATTTCCCAAACTTTTCTCCAAGAACTTTTTTCCTAGAAACACCTATCTGTGGCTTGATGAATATTAATATTCCACATGAAAAGGTTTGGAAAATGTGGCCTTGTGAATGTCAAAAATTTATTGTGTAGTGGAGCACATATTTGCTGCTTTTTGGCTGCTCATCTCCCACTTCCTAATAGCACCCTGATTTCCTTTTGAAGAGTCATATATTCCCTTGTGAGTATAGCATTAGCAAGCTAGTAAACTAATATGCGTGCTGTACAAAATGGAACCAACCAGGTTCAAGGAAACAGTTAAGCCTTGGTGCCTAAGGCAACCATTGCATGTAATTATTTCTCTCCCATGCATGTATCATGGTACTAGTTATTTACTGTTCTTGGAGGAATTGAGAAAATTGCCACATAAATTATTCTATGATTCAGATGAGGAACCTGCTTGAGAAGCACTGCTACAGATAAAAACTTCCTTGAGGCTATTTCTGCCAGATTAATGCGTATTGCCCAGGTAAAGCTTGGAGTGGACATATGTCCTAGATTTAGGCAGTTGGTTTCTCTCTCCCAGGATTTTGAACCTTGAAAAGTGGCAGAATAATAATTAGTTCCTACATGTGTCCATGACTGATTCTTTAGCCTTCACATTGAGTCTATGTCTTGCTAATATCCTTTTAAAAATTTTATTAATGTTTAAATAGACCAGATTAGGTTTCTCTTGCTTATAATCCATGTTACCATCCTAATAGTAGTTTTCATACAACCAACAATTTGAGAGTTTTATTTAAAGGACAAGGCAGAAAAAGAAAAACAGACCCAGGTACAATGGGTATAAAAATTAAGTCTGAGAAATAGTTGGATTTTTGTACCACACTTAAATTGAACTTGATGTGCTGAATTCTAAGCTCCATTCCTTTCTCTCAGCGAACAAGTCTCTTATCTTCTCTGCTCTCTCTTAACTGATGAAAACAGGCAAATACAATGAGCTGCTAAGTTCATATTTGGGCCTTGGATGAAATAACTATGAATAAAAACACAAAACTTCATACAATTCAGATGTAGATGGCTTTAAAGAATAAAGGAGAATCAATCTTCAACAAGTGGGGGGAAAAAGGAGAAATCAAGGTGAAGGCATCTATAGAAACAGCTGTCAGGGTATTCATCATGCTAACTGAATCTTAACAGTGGCTACTTGATGCAGGAGAGAATGAGAAAGGCCTTCAGCAAAAGATGTCTAAAAATACCTAGAACATTTATTTGGATTTTTTAAGCAGACCACCTGCTGCTTTATAAGTAATTATTTGTGCTTTAGCAATGAAAGGCAGTTACACTATCAGCAGGGAGGTCTCAATTATACTGCCATCTTCATATTGAATGTGAGGTTCTCCTTGGAAGCCAAAAAAAAAAAAAAAAAAATTACAAATGTTCCAAACCAGATGTTCACTTTGAAATCAAATAGAGATCTCCCAATTATCCTTCTTTCAATAATGAAGCTGTAGAGTGTTAGCATGTGGTTTTATAAGCAGGAGGCCATGCAGGAAGTACTGAGTGCCAGGAACATTTCTGCAATGAGCATGATGTTGGAGCCATGATGGGGAGGGTGATAAGGGAACTGGGCCCTCTAGACTCATTTATGATTTCTTGAATTTTATCACCATGCTAGTCCAGGAGTTTCTACACTGGCCCAGATAAATGAGAAATTAGCCCCCAAATTACACTTGATTTGCTTTGCCATTTTCTTCACTATAAGGAGAAATATATTGATCATGTTTCTTAAAACTAGAGTGTGTTCTTTCCCTTCATAGGGTAGTCTCTGAAGATGAATATGAAAAAATTTCCCTTACAAATACTGATTATCCACATACAAAACAACACCTCATATTGATGAGGAAAAATAGTGACACAATTTAAATTAACGTTCTTAGAACAGGTTTCTCATTAAGATTTCAAAAGGTGATTTTCTTATGTTAAAAAAGCACATTAGCTGAGAAGTAACAAGCAAGTAATTTATCCAGATCTATTTTATGATGCTTAATTGAAAGTATTTTTCAGTCATCAATTATGTTTGAAAAAAACAAAAAGAAAAAGAAAATTCCATGTGGCTTAAAAAATGATGCAGATTTTAGATCAGACGTAGGAAATTCTTGCAACTTGCTGGGAGAGTATTTGGAAACTTTATTACCACTTAAACTTTTGGCTAGATGGGATCTTTGCTTGCCCAAAGTATCAAAAATAGTTGAAAAATGTTTTGTAGTTTGGACATTTCTTGTTTCACTTTGTCTTGTTTTACTCTTTTGTGGTGTGTGTGTGCGTGTGATTTATCTTGGAGTGGATGAAAGAAGCATAGTAACTATTATAAATAGTAAATATTAAAGTAACATGAATATAGTTCAGTTATATAGACTCACAGTCCTCACAAATTTGGAGGGTTGTGTACAAACTTATTTTTATTTTTATTATAAATTTTATTATTTCCATAGGTTATTGAGGAACAGGTGGTGTTTTGTTACGTAAGTTCTTTAGTGGTGATTTGTGAGATTTTGGTGCACCAGTCACCCGAGTAGTATACACTGCACCCAATTTGTGGTCTTTTACCCCTCACTCCCTTCCCACCCTTTCCCCTTGAGTCTCCAAAGTCCATTGTGTCTTACTTATGCCTTTACATCCTTATAGCTTAGCTCCCACATATGAGTGAGAACATACGATGTTTGGTTTTCCATTCCTGAGTTCCTTCACTTAGAATAATAATCTCTAACCTCATCCAGGTCACTGTGAATGCCATTAATTCATTCCTTTTCATGACTGAGTAGGATAGATAGATAGATAGATAGATAGATAGATAGATAGATAGATCACAGTTTCTTTATCCACTTGTTGATTGATGAGTATTTCAGTTGGTTCCACATTTTCATGATTGCAAATTGTGCTGCTATAAACATGAGTGTGCAAGTATCTTTTTCATATAATGACTTCTTTTCCTCTGGGTAGATGCCCAGTAGTGGGATTGCTGGATCAAACTGTAGCTCTACTTTTAGTTCTTTAAGAAATCTCCACACTGTTTTCCATAGTAGTTGTACTACTTTACATTCCCACCGGAAGTGTAGAAGTGTTCCCTGTTCCCCACATCTACATCAACATCTACTGTTTTTTGATTTTTTTTATTATGGCCATTCTTGCAGGGGTAAGGTGATATTGTATTTTGGTTTTGATTTGCATTTCACTAATTATTAGCGATGTTGAGCATTTTTTCATCTTTGTTGGCCATTTGTATATCCTCTTTTGAGAATTATCTATTCATTGCTAATTTGTTTGAATTCACTGTAGATTCTGGATATTAGTCCTTTGTCAGATATACAGATTGTGAAGATTTTCTCCCACTCTTTGTGTTGTCTGTTTACTCTTCTGACTGTTCCTTTTGACTTGCAAAAGCTCTTTAGTTTAATTAAGTCCCAGCTATTTATCATGGTTTTTGTTGCATTTGCTTTTGGGTTCTTGGTCATGAAATCCTTGCCTAAGCCAATGTCTAGAAGGGTTTTTCCAATGTTGTCTTCTAGAATTTTTATAGTTTCATATCTTAGACTTAAGTCCTTGATCCATCTTGGGTTGATTTTTGTACAATGCAAGAGATAGTGATCCAGTTTCATTCTCCTACATGTGGCTTCCCAAGTATTCCAGCATCATTTGTTGAATAGGGTGTCCTTTCCTCACTTTATGTTTTTATTTGCTTTGTCGAAGATTAGTTGGCTGTAAGCATTAGGGTTTATTTTTGGATTCTCTGTTCTGTTACATTGGTCTATGTGCCTATTTTTATGCCAGTACCATGCTATTTTGGTGACTATGGCTTTATAGTATAGTTTGAAATCATATAATATGATGCCTCCAGATTTGTTCTTTTTGCTTACTCTTGCTTTGTCTGTGTGGGCTCTTTTTTGGTTCCATATGAATTTCAGGATTGTTTTTTCTAATTCTGTGAACAATGATGGTGGTATTTTGATGGGAATTGTGTTAAATTTGTAGATTGCTTTTGGCCCTATGGTCAGTTTCAAATATTGATTCTATCCATCCATGAGCATGGGATGTGTTTCCATTTGCTTGTGCTGTCTATGATTTCTTTCAGCAGTGTTTAATAGTTTTCCTTGTAGATGTCTTTCACCTCCTTGGTTACGTATATTTGTAAATTTTTTTTTTTTCAGCTTCTGTAAAAGGGGTTGAGTTCTTGATTTCATTCTCAGCTTGGTTACTGTTGGTGTATAAAAGAGCTACTGATTTGTGTACATTGATTTTGTAACCGGAAACATTGCTGAATTCTTTTATCAGTTCAAGGAGCTTTCTGGAGGCATCTTTAGGGTTTTCTAGGTAAACAATCATATCATCAGCAAACAGCAACAGTTTGACTTCCTCCTTATGAATTCGAATGGCCTTTATTGCTTTCTCTTGTCTGCTTGCTCTGGCTAGGACTTCCAATAATATGTTGAAGAGGAGTAGTGAGCATGGGCATCCTTGTCTTGTTCCAGTTCTCAGAGGAAATGCTTTCATCTTTTCCCATTCAGTATTATGTTGGCTGTGGGTTTACCATAGATGGTTTTGATTACATTGAGGTGTGTTCTTTGTATGCCAGTTTTGCTGAGAGTTATAATCATAAAGGGATGCTGGATTTTGTCAAATGCTTTTTCTACATCAATTGTGATGATCGTGTGATTTTAGTTTTCAATTCTGTTTATGTGGTGTATCACATTTATTGACTTGAATATGTTAAACCATCCCTGGTATGAAATCCACTTCATCATGGTGGATTATCTTTTTTATATGTTGTTGGATTCGGTTAGCTAGTATTTTATTAAGGATTTTAGCATCTATGTTCATCAGGGATGTTGGTCTGTAGTTTTCTTTTTTGATTATGTCCTTTCCTGGCTTTGGTACTAGGGTAATACCGGCTTCATAGAATGATTTAGGGAGGGTTCCCTCTTTATCTTGTGGAATAGTATCAATAGGATTAGTACCAATTCTTCTTTGAATGTCTGGGAGAATTCTGCTGTGAATCTGTCTGGTCCTGGACTTTTTTTGTGTTGGTAATTTTTAAATTACCATTTCAATGTTGCTGCTTGTCATAGGTCTGTTCAGAGTATCAAATTCTTCCTGATTTAAGCTAGGAAGTTTATATCTTTCCAGCAATTTATCCCTCTCCTCTAAGTTTTCTAGTTTATGTGCATAAAGGTATTCATGGTAGCCTTGAATAATCATTTGTATTTCTGTGGTGTCAGTTGTAATATATCCCATTTTGTTTCTAATTGAGCTTATCTGGATTTCCTCTCTTCTTTTCTTGGTTAATCTTGCTAACAAGCTATCAATGTTATTTATCTTTTAAAAAAACCAGCTTTTTGCTTCATTTCTCTTTTGTATTTTTTGTTTGTTTGTTTCAATTTCATTTAGTTCTGCTCCGATCTTGGTTATTTCCCTTCTTCTGCTGGGTTTGGGTTTGGTTTGTTCTTGTTTCTCTAGTTCCTTGAGGTGCGACCTTAGATCGTCTGTTTGTATTCTTTCAAACTTTTTGATATAGGCATTTAGGGCTATGAACTTTCCTCTTAGTGCCGCCTTTGCTGTATTCCAGAGATTTTGATAGGTTGTGCCACTATTGTCATTCAGTTCAAAGAATTTTTTAATTTCAATTAATTTCCAGGTTATTTAACTTCCATGTATTTGCATGGTTTTGAAGGTTCCTTCTGGAGTTGATTTCCAGTTTTATTCCACTGTGGTCTGAGAGAATACTTGATATAATTATAATTTTCTTGAATTTATTGAGGTTAGTTTTGTGGCCTATCATATTTTCTATCTTGGAGAAAGTTCCATATGCTGTTGAATAGATGTATATTCTGTAGTTGTTGGGTAGAATGTTCTGTAAATATCTGTTAAGTCCATTTGTTCCAGGGTATAGTTTAAATCCATTGTTTGTTGGCTTTCTGTCTTGATGGCCTGTCTAGTGTTGTCAGTGGAGTATTGAAGTCCCCCACTATTATTGTGTTGCTATTTATCTCATTTCTAAGGTCTTTTAGTAATTGTTTTATAAATTTGGGAGCTCCAGTGTTAGGTGCATATATATTTAGGATTGTGGTATTTTCCTGTCGGACAAGGCCTTTTATCATTATATAATGTCCTTCTTTGTCTTTTATAACTGCTGTTGTCTTAAAGTTTTGTTTTGTCTGATCTAAGAATAACTACCCCTGATTGCTTTTGGTGTCCATTGCATGAAATGTCTTTTTTCATCCCTTTACCTTAAGTTTACGTGAGTCCTTATGTGTTAGGTGTGTCTCTTGAAGGCAGTAGGTCTTTGGTTAGTGAATTCTTATTTATTCTGCAATTCTGTATCTTTTAAGTGGAGCATTTACATCATTTACATTCAACTTTAATATTCAGATTTGAGTTACCATTCTATTCATTGTGCTATTTGTTGCCTGTATACCTTGGTTTTTTGTTGTTGTTGTTGTTGTTGTTGTTGTTGTTGTTGTATTTTTGTTTCGTAGGTTCTGTTAAATTTATGCCTTAAGGAGGTTCTGTTTTGATGTGTTTCCAGGATTTGTTTCAAGATTTAGAGCCCCCTTCAGCAGTTCTTGTACTGCTGGCTTGGTACTGGCAAGTTCTCTCAGCCTTTGTTTGCCTGAAAAAGACTATCCCTCCTTCACTTATGAAGCTTAGTTTCGCTTCCCTTCCCTTCCTTCCCTTTCTTGCAGTACCTTTTTCTAGGTTTGGTGTGAGAGTAATGCCAGCCTCATAAAATGAGTTTATAAGTGCTCCCTCCTCTTCAATTTTTTTGGCAGAATTCGGTATTGAGTTTTTAAATATTTGGTAGAATTTCCTAGTAAAGCCATCAGCGTCTGTTTTTTGTTATTTTTGTTGTTGTTGTTGGTGGTGGTGGTGGTGGTGGTAGGTTTCTGACTCGGTCTCTACTTGTTATTGGTCTCCAGATTTTTTCTTTTCTCATGATTTAGACTTGGTAGTTTATATGTGTCTAGGAATTTATCTATTTCTTCTAGGTTATCTAATTTGTTGGTGTATAATTGTTCATGGTAATCTCTTATGACCTTTTGTATTTCCGTGATATCAGCTGTGATGTTTCCTCTTTTAGTTCTGATTTTATTTACTTGAGTCTTTTCTCTTTTTTTACTTAGTCTACATAAAGTTTCATCAACTTTATCTCTTCAAAAACCAACTATTAGTTTTATTAATCTTTTCCACTGTTTTTCTAGAATTTATTTCATTTACTTCTACTCTGAGATTTGTTATTTCCTTCCTTTTACTAATTGTGTGCTTAGTTTTTTCTTCTTTCTAGTTACTTAAAGTGTAAAGTTACATTGTTCCTTGAGATCTTTTTTTTTCTTAATGAAGGCATTTGTTACTACAGACTTCTCTCTTAGAACTACTTTGGTGCATCTTGAAAGATGTTTGTTTGTTTGTTTGTTTGTTTGTTTGTTTTTTGAGACAGAGTCTCGCTCCGTTGCACAGGCTGGAGTGCAGTGGCGTGATCTCAGCTCACTGCAACCTCTGCCTCCCGGGTTCAAGAAATTCTCTGCCTCAGCCTCCCTAGTAGCTGGGATTACATGTGCCCACCACCATGCCTTTTTGTATTTTTAGTAGAGAGGGGTTTCACCATCTTGGCCAGGCTGGTTTTGAACCCGTGACCTCATGATCCACCCGCCTTGGCCTGCCAAAGTGCTGGGATTACAGGTGTAAGCCACCGTGCCCGGCCTGTCTTGAAAGTTTTGACGTTTCTGTTTGTCACAAGATTTTAAATTTTTAATTGACATATAACAAGTGTACATATTTATGGGGCACATAGTGATGTTTTGATACATATAATGTATCAAACCTGCACGTTTGTTACATAGAACTTAAAGTAAAATTTAATAATAATAATAATAAAACCCAAAAGATTTTGGTGTTTTGCTTTAGACAATAGTTCAACTTACCACTTGACGTCACAGAAAATACATTAAATAAAAATGTATACTACAACCTAACAAAAACAAAACAAAACAAAAACAAAAAAAAGAGAAATGTCTGTTCAGCTCATTTGCCCTTTAATTTTCCTTTTTTTTTTTTTTTTTTGACACATACATTGGGAAAGTATAGTTGACTACCAATGGCACATTACAAGATTAATTTCCACTATTTGTAAATTTTCAAGTTTTTCTTCTGTTATTTATTTCTAGTTATGTATCACCTGGTACATATCATAGTTTATACAATTTTGATTTTTCATATATATATATATACAAACACACACACACACACACACAAACACATATGCACGTACATACATGTATACACATGCACCCACACCCAATTGTTGTATCCTCTTGATTACTCTCTTTATCTTTATATAATGACCTTCTTTGTCTGTTCTGACAGTTTTTGACTCAGAGTCTATTTTTTTTTCTGATATAAGTATAGCCACTTTTTCTCTCTTTTAATTGCCATTTGCATGGAATACCTTTTCCCATCTCTTCACTTTTGGCCTATATATGTCCTTAAAGCTAATGTGAGCTTCTTGTTGGTACCTTATATTTGGATCTTGTTTTTTTTTTTTTTTTTTTTTTTTTTGAGACGGAGTCTCGCTGTGTCTCCCAGGTTGGAGTGCGGTGGCGCGATCTCGGCTCACTGCAAGCTCCGCCTCCCGGGTTCACGCCATTCTCCTGCCTCAGCCTCCCAAGTAGCTGGGACTACAGGCGCCCGCCAACACGCCCCGCTAATTTTTTGTATTTTTAGTAGAAACGGGGTTTCACCGTGTTAGCCAAGATGGTCTCGATCTCCTGACCTCGTGATCCGCCCGTCTCGGCCTCCCAAAGTGCTGGGATTACAGGCGTGAGCCACCGCGCCCGGCCTGGATCTTGTTTTTTTTAATCCATTCTGCTACTTTATGTCTTTCACTGGGGATAATCCATTTACATTTTACATAATTACTGACAGATGACTTTAATATTGCCACTTTGTTTGTTTGTTTTCCAGTTGTTTTATAGATTTTTTGTTCCTTTCTTCCTCTCTTGCTATCTTTCTTTGTGATTTGATTTTTTTTTTTTGTACTGGTATGCTCTGATTCCTTTTTCTTAATCTTTCTTATATCTAGTATAGGTTTTTTTTTTTTTTTTTTTTTTTTTGGTTACCATTAGGCTAAAACAAAACATCATATAGTTGTAACAGTCTATTTTAAGCTGATAACAACTTAACTTTAACTACATATAAAAACTCAACGCCTTAACTTTCCTCCCAATATTGTATGGCTTTTTTATGTGTGTTTGTTTTTAGACAGGGTCTCACTTTGTCACCTAGGTTGGAGTACAATGGCACAAACATGGCTCATTGCAGCCTGGATCTGCTGTGCTCAAGCAGTCCTCACACCTCAGCCTCCCTAGTATCTGGGACCACAGGCATGCACCACCACACCCAGCTAATTAAAAAAAAAAAGTTGTAGAGATGGGGACTCATCATGTTGCCCAAGCTGGTCTTGAACTCCTGGGTTCAAGTGATCCTCCTGCTTTGGCTTCCCAAAGTGCTGAGATTACAAGTGTGAGCCACTATGCCTGGGCCATGTTATGTTATTGATGTCACAATTTATGTTTTCTTATATTCTATATTAATTAATAATCAGTTATTTATAATTATTTTATTTTAACTTTTATACTAGAGTTAAATGTGCTTTACATACTACCATTACAGTATTAGATTATTCTAAATGAGAATATTTTTACCTTTACAGTGAGCTTTATGCTTTTGTATGTTTTTATATAGTTAGTTAATGCCCTCTCTTTTCAATTTGAAGAAGTCCCTTTAGTATTTCTTGCAAGGCAGATATAGTGGTGATAAATTTCCTCAGCTTTTGTTTGTATGGAAAAGTCTTTATTTCTTCCTCAGTTCTGAAAGACAGCTTTGCCAGATATTCTTGGTTGGTGGTCTTTTTTTTTTTTTTTCCTTTCCGTACTTGGAATATATCATCCACTCTCTCCTGGCCTGCAAGGTTTTGCTGAGAAATCTGCTGATGGTCTTATTACTCCCTGTGTCTTAGTCCATTTAGTGTTGCTATAAAGGAATTATTTAGGCTGGGTAATCCATTATTTTTTTAAAAAAATTATTCCACTCATTGTTCTGCAGGATGTACAAGAAACATGGTGCTGGCATCTGTATCTGGTGTGGCCTTTGCCTGCTTCCACTCATGGCAGAAGAAGGAGAGCTGGTGTGTGCAGAGATCAGATGGTGAGAAAGGAAGGAAAAGAGAGAGAAGGGATATGGCAGGCTCTTTTTAACAATCAGCTTTAGTGGAAACTAATAGAATGAGAACTCACTCCTTGTCATGAGGATAGCACCAAACTATTCATGAGAGCTCCACCTCCATGACTCAAATATCTCCCATTAGGCCCCACCTCCAATATTGAAAATCAAATTTCAACATGAGGTTCAGGGAGACAAGCATCCAAACTATAACACCTTATATGTGGCAAATTGCTTTTATCTTGTTGCTCTCAAAATTTGCTTTGCCTTTGATTTTTGAGAATTTGATTATGTCTCCATGAATATTTCTTTATGGTTCATCTATTTAAAGATCTCTGGGATCCAGATGTTTATTTCTCTCAAGATTTGTGAAGTTCTCTTTCATAATTTCTTTAAAAAAGTTCTCTTCCTGGCTGGGTGCAGTGGCTCACACCTGTAATCCCAGCACTTTGGGAGGCCGAGGCAGGCAGATCACGAGTTCCGGGGATCGAGACCATCCTGGCTAACACAGTGAAACCCCGTCTCTACTAAAAATACAAAAAATCAGCCGGGCGTGGTGGCGGGCGCCTGTAGTCCCAGCTACTCGGGAGGCTGAGGCAGGGGAATGGCGTGAACCCAAGGGGCGGAGCTTGCGGTGAGCCAAGATTGCGCCACTGCACTCCAGCCTGGGAGACAGAGCAAGACTCTGCCTCAAAAAAAAAGAAAAAAAAAAAGTTCTCTTCCTTTTTTCTCTTACTCCACTACCTCTGGGATTCCCATAATGCATATATCAGTTTGCTTGATGGTATTCTGTAACAATCATAGCCTATCTTCACTCTTTTTTATTCTATTTATTTATTTGATTCCTCTAAGTAATTTCAAATGACCTGTCTTCAAGCTTACTGATTCTTTCTTCTGCTTGTTCAGGTCTGCCATCAAAGCATTCTATAACATTTTTCAGTTCAGTCATTATCTTATCTTCTAGAATTTCTATTTGAGTATTTTTTACGGCTTATGTCTCTTTGTTAATCTTTTCATTTGTCTCTTGTATTGTTCTCCTGATATCATTTAGTTGTCTATCTGTGTTCTCTTGTATCTTTCTAAGCTTCTTTAAGATACTTATTTTGAAGTTTTTGTCAGGCAATTCATAGATCTTCATGACTTTAAGGTTAGGTCCTGGTACTTTATTTTGTTCCTTTGGTGGTATCATGGTTCCCTGATCATTCCTATTTCTTATGGAACTTCATTGGTGCCTGCACATTTGAAAAAGGAGACCTCTTACAGGCTTGCCTGAGCAGGGAACTCCCTATACCAGATTGGTCTCAGCAGGGAAAGAGATCTGGGTGAGCCAGCTGTTGGAGTCCATAGGTGGGCTTTATTGCTGAATTCCTTGAGTGGGCCAGCCTGTTGCTTGGGTCCACTAGGGTAAGACTGGAACTTGAGTCTGCATGTGGGCCTGATGGCTGGGTTGGTGGGGATGGGCCTGCAGCATGGTTCCATGGAAACAGGCCCAGAGCTTGTGTTTGCAGGGGCTAACCTGAAGTCCAGGTCCCTGGGAGCCAGCCTGGCACTGGAATAGGCTTGTAGCCTAAGTCCATGGGAACAGGCTTAAATCTTGGGTCTTCAGGGTCCAGCCTGGAGCCTAGAACCACATAAGCCAGTCTGGTGCCAGGGTTCACTTTAAAGTCTGTGTTAAAGTCAGGTGCTTCCTTTACTCTCCTTTCCCCAAGAAGGCATTTCTCTCCAGGCTGCACTGCATAGGCCTGATGGAGGAGTCACACCTGTAATATAAAACTATCCATGCTATCATCTTTAATGACTCAGTTCTTATTTCTGCATTCCAGGTACTGTAATCTCTTATCTGGACTCCTTAGCTCTTGTAAAGATATTTTCATGCATGGATGGTTGTTCAAATTGATGTTTCTGTGAAGGGATGAACACTACATCTTTTCTACATCTTGCTGATGTCACTCCTTTCAATACAGGCTATTTAATATTTGCTGTTAGTGTTATTTTCACTATTCTCCCTCATGGGAAAATGAGACCTTTACAAAAAAGCTAATAAAGGGCAAATCTGAATGATGCTCTAAAACTCATATCCTTCTCCATTTGATAGCTTTACAATATTGAGCTCAGCAGGTCTAGGTTATCTCCCAAGTCTTTCTCATTGCAACAGGGAACTCTTCTACCAGAAAACTTCCATTGTTGCACAGGTGCATTGGTGTGGTAATAAATGAGCCCTCAAAAAAAAAATCCCTGATTTGTGGTGTGCCAGTTCTGAGATATCCATCTTCTCGCTGTGGCCAATATCAAGCTGACAATGTAAAGTCACTGAAAGCACTGCTGGGAAGAGACAAACATAATTGGCTTCTCTGATGCAATACAAGACTGCTCCAGCAAACTATTGAAATAGTCACATACATGTTCCCTGCCCTGTACATATAACTACGTAGAGCATATGCCAACTCCTCCTCTCTCTTTTAGGTTGTTGACCATGACGTCTATAAAAAAAAAAAAAAAAGCTATATCTGGCCCATGCATTGGGAAATCAGAGTTCAAAAGATTGCATTCACTCTATTACTTCTACATTTTCCCCCAATAAATATTATGTTATATTTGCACTGCATGGTGATAATGGCATGTGACCATGAGTCCTTTGCATGACAAAAGTAATGTCAGACACAAAGAACACTGGAATTTTAAATATCAAAGTCATATATTTGAGGATGCTATAGATGAAATCCTTTAATCATAATCTTAAGAAGTAGATGAATACCTGCTTTACTTCCCAAGCATCACACTTTATAAGGTGGAAGCTTGTAAAGCATTTCTGGAGAACTTGATTTTCAGCTATAAATCACGTTGGTGTCTTGGTTTCTTATATTTAAAATGACCTCTAGTGTGATCTTTAAGGACACTGCCAGTTCTGACATTTCTGAATGCTAACCCATATTCAAGGCATTGCCCTGGTTCATTAAACCCTTTCTCCAAAGGTCCATTTTATTTTAAACATAGAAAAAGCATACCTAGGAACTGTAAAGTCTAAGGCATTGAATGAAGACTTTTTGTTGTTCTTGTTACTGATTAAATGCATTTGGGAAGAATAGTCTATCAAGAAAAATTATTAGCTTTTTGTACAAACTTGAAATGCAGAGTATTAAAAATCTGTCAAATGCAGAACTTTACTGTGCCTTAATCTATACCTTAGTCAATATTCATTAAATGGGTCTCTCACTGTCAGCAGGTGTGTTCCACCTTGGCACGCACAACTTTTAATTCATTTAACCCAACAATTCCTTTAGCTGCAAGTGATTGCCTTGGCTATAGGCATTTTTGAAAAGAGCATCAGGGCATGTTTCTTGCCTGATTTAAATTTAAACTTATTTCAAGTTCTCCCTCTCACAGGTTAAATTTCCTCTCAGCTACCTTTGAACTCTTCATATCAGCAGGTCCATTCTTGTCAATTGTATTGTCAGATGTCCTTCCAGGAATGGAAGAGGATGGAGAACTTAGGGGCAGATAGTATAGAGATCTGGCCTCTAGACAGAACATCTAGTTTCCATGATAGTTAATCAAATCATCAGGGGCCCTTCTAAGAAAAGATGGTATGGAACTGGATGGGCTCTAATGCCCTAGCCAGCTGTCACATTCTGTAAATTTCTAGAGCTCAGGCAGAGGTAATGGATACAGAAAGAATTCTGGATATCTACTTCCCTAGATAATGGTACAGGAAAGTATACTACCCTAGGTACAACTGTAAGGAAAATAATACTCAAAATAGATTGGATGTTTGATAAGTTTTGGGGATTGGAGGTATGAGCGGAGAAGTAGAATAAGAACAGGATTTGAAATCAGAGAACCAAGATTCCAATGCTAGTGAGGCCATTGTTTTCTTGTGTGTGACAGTATACATTTTTTTTCTCATCTGAAAATGGGTACAATAGCATCTATAGAGATGTGTTATCTCACTCACTCCTCATTATACCCCATGCAAAGTAATATTCCCATTTTTCTGATGAGGACACTGAGGCTAAGAGAGCTTACATATTTGTTCACATTTTTGCAGCTTACAAGTGCCAGACTTGCAAACTGAGCCTTAGTCTGAAAGCAAAGTCAGTGTTCTTAACCATTTAACCACTTAACCATAAGTCTTCATTCAGTACTCCAAACTTAGAAAAATTTGAATAGCTCTGGCAAATCAAATGGTGTTTTCCACAGCTTGACTAGAACTTTCTTGTTAGTTTAATCATTATTTGCAATTGTTCCTCAAGAAGCAACAATTGTGTTCAGTTTAAGCTTTTCAACATTCTTCATTGTCATGCCATTTTTAAAAAAGTTTTCATGCTGAGGAAGGTTTTGTTATTTTCAAGGGAAATATGTAGAAAAGTAAAAAACAACAAAAATAAAAGATGTGGAGGCATTTACAGTGCAGGTAATTGGTCCTAATTTTGTCTGCTCTCAGGTTATGTTTTTGTAGATTGAGCATATTGCTTTATGTTCCATCTGAACAATAGGCTAGAACAATGCTGAGAGTGTCACATTTTTCTGAGTGACTGACTATAACACTAGTCTTTCATTTCTAATGACAATGGAGAATGTTTACTGGATGCATTCCCACACATTATTTCATTTTACCCTTATTACAATCCTGTGGGGGTAAATGCTACTATTGCACCCATTTTCAGATGAGAAAACAAAAGTATATTGTCACATACAACAAAACAATGGCCTCACCTGCATTGGAATCTTGGTTCTCTGATTTCAAATCCTATTTTTATTCTTTACCACTCATAACTCAAAATCCAAAATATCCAAACACTTGGGACCTTGTAATAACGACTTTGTGTTAATTTGACATTTTTTTCCATTACCTTCTTTTAAGCTTCCATTTGGTTTCTCCTTGTATAGAAAAGTAGTGAAGCTAAGACATGTTAAAATTGATCAGGTTGTTCCTCCCCACCCCACAGTACTAAATTAGAAAAAAAAAATTCTTTCTACAAGAAGGTCATAAAAAGCAGGAACAGAGCTTTTCAGATTAGAACATAGTGAGTCTAGGGTTGAATCCTATTACAGTCCAATACCATGGAATAGAATGTTTTCCACAGTCAAGCTGTTTTCTCTTTTAGTGGCTTGCTGAACTACTCAGAAGTCATCAAGAGAAAGAGCAGTTCATATTTCTGATAAACTGGGGGCAAAAGTACAATTGTTGGACTTTAGACAACTTAGCTAAAGACTTAAGTTGCAAGAGTTATCTGCTAGGTAGTCATAATGTATTCTATTTTCTTTTATGTATTAAACCACATTTAGTAATATACATAATCTTTATTGAATATGAATTAATTCAAGTAGTCATCATTAAAAAAAAGAACTCTAAGTAGGTATTGTTATTATCCCCATTTCACAGACGGGAAAATTGAGACAAGTCAGTATAGACAGAGTCTTTGGGCACAGACCAGAAACCCTAAAAGAACTCACTCTGTTCTCTTACCCTCAGTGAATTTCCACATCTGAAACATGAAATTAATAACATAATCCAGTACTACATTGGGTAGCATGGGACCTGAAAAGAAATCAAATATTTCTCCAGTTTCTTTCTACAAAAGAAATCCATTATTTCAAGAAGCTAATCTAATTTTAGAGAGAAGCTTTTCACATGTAAAGAAAAAAGACAGAAAAGATAAATTTTACCATAAAATAGAAAATGAATTAAAATGCAATCAGAAATCAAAATGCATGAAAAAGACAAGAGGCACTGTGTACTATATTACCCACCTGTAGACATAAGTGTTCTGAGTCCTGCAGTAAAGAGAACTACAGACCTTTCTCAGTTTAGAGTTTCCTTAAGTATTTTATGGATTTAATTAGTATGGAGAGTTTAAAACATCACTTTTCAAACCCATCCAGGGTACTAGTACCCCAAACAAGAAATAGAAAAGAATCTACAATTAATTAAGCATTGATTCTCTTCAAAAATCACTTCTGAAGTTCAGTAGTTGAACACACAGCTTTTCATTTCTATTTCTTCCCTTGGAACATGATTTGTTCCAATTTGATTGTGCCTTTCTAATGATGCCACATCACCATGTCTTAATTAACAAACATACAGGATAATTCTGTGCCTGTCTCCTGATGAGAATCTAGAAAACAAGATAAGAAGATCCAAGACAGTAAAAGATATAAATTGCCAACTTCTAAACTGATGTTGTCAGTGTATGGCTGAGGTTGACGAAGAGTCATTATTCTCCTATTACTGGCCTCCTGGGGATCAATTAATTCAACATTTCGCAGGTATCCTAGACAAGAGATAGGAGGGAACCTGCAATTAATTAAACATCTATTCTTTTCAAAGATCACTTCTTAAGCTCAATATCTGAGCTACATAAACTAAAAGGGAATCGTAATGAAAGAAAATAAAATGTAGTTATAATAGGACTTATGATTATTAATGGATTGGAAATTGAATTCACACTGGCAAACTGAGGTAGAGGGCAAAACCTACTCAGTAAAATCAGCCCCAGTTCCTCCATCTCTGGATTAGGTGACCAAGGCAAGGGTTTTAAGCTTGGTGCTAACATTATTAATTCACTTCGGAAATTTCAAGGGTATCACTCAGTGTCATTTTAGTTATACATAGTGAATTCTGAGAGTTTCATTCCAAACTCTGTGGGCTGTTCTGAGGTTTAAATAAGATCACAAAATAAGATCATGGACATCCTTTAAAAGCTCTGATGGGTTATACTAATGCAAGTGATAAAACAACATCCTGAAAATTTCCCTGTATAGACTGAAAATGTGCTTTTTAACTGACAATTATTTTTTAAACTCTTCTTATATCATTTGGTTAGTGATTGTCTAGTGTCTACAATTAATTTGGCTATGTCTGAACATGGAAAATTAAATGGAGCTTCACAGACACTTACTACTCAGAGATAGCAAGCACATTACTGATTGATTAGCACTGTCTGTCAGGCCAGTTTATTGAGAATTTGAGGCCACATCTGGGCGTGGCATTAATTAGTATTGTCTGACAGGGGCACAGAATTGAGTTAGTAAAGCCTACCTGCTGGCTATATGCCTCCTCTGGCCCTACTTCTATTAATTTCTATAATTCAGATGATTGCATATTTCAGGTTTCAGTCTACTTAGGAGAAAGCATTTAATGTTTTCTATAAATTAAATCTCTCTTCACTTGATAGCTTAAAATTTCAATACTCTCCTTCATGTCTTTTTCTTCAAACTACTCAGATATGCTGTCCTTTACTTGCACCATGTACTTTCTTGACTGTGCCAATGCTTGAGTTTTTCTTTTATTAATATTAACATCTAACATTTCTTCAGTGGTTATTGTGTGCTAGGCACTTTCCTAAGTAGTTTACATGTATATCTCACTTAATTCTATAGGCATAATCAAAAACTATAATGATCCCCATTTTACATATGAGAAAACTGAGGGTTATACATGTTATACAATTTGTTCCAGGAGACACCAATAGTTAGTAGCAGTTTAGAATATCCCCCTGCCATTTCAGTGGTCCTATGGTATCTGCCACTTGCTTGATAAAGATTTTCTTGATGTTCCCTACCCACCCCCCACCTCCAAATTTTTCCTTCTGGTGAACACCTCAGTAATACATCTGTTCTACTTCCATAACACTTATTCACTTAACCTGGAAATATGCAGATCTGTTAATATATGTGCTTATTTTAAAAGCTCTGATGGATCATACTAATGCAGGTTAATAATATTAATAATATATGTATTTACAAATAATATGCCATGCTAGGTGCTGGGTGCTCAAAAGTGAATATGACACAGTATCTGCCACTGAGTAACTCACAGTCAGGTAAAGAGGATAGACATGCCAAAAACATGTAATACAGTGGCATAATATATACAATATTTCACACACACAATGCAACTGAAATTCCTGAAAGAAGCAGATGGGAGGATGTAACATCTGAGCTGGGTATTGACAAGAAGGAAACATAGAGGACTCCTAGTTTTTTGGCTTGAGCATTCGGTCAGAGATGGTATCACACCATTCAAAGAGATACAGTATACAGTAAGACAGAATAGGGCTGAATTATGTTTGTCTTGGGATATGTTCAGTATTTGGTATTTTTGAGACATTTAAATGTGACCATGCACTTAATATTTAGATGTACAATTCTGAAGCTCAGATAAAAAGTCTGAGGAACTTCAGGAGGTTTAGGAGTCAGCATTTGAGTTATTTGAAGCATAGAAGTAAGTAGCTTCACCCGATCACTAGTAAGAGGTGAAAAGCAGTATTATTGATTCTTGTGTAACACACACACACACACACACACAAAAAGATAAACTCCATGGCCTATCCTCTTCCACCAAGAGCTTTTTCTCTGCTTCCCTAAGGGACTTGTCTTTCTACTTGAGCATTTGCAATACAGGTGAAGACAGTGAGGCTAGCAGAACAGAGCCCTGTGAAGCATTAACATGTAAGAGTCAGGCAGAGGAAAATGAGACAACAAAGGACAGAGAAAATGGGCCAGTGAAGAACGAAGAAAATCAGAAGAGAGTTGAGTCATGGAAACAAAAGCAGACAGCAGTTCAAGAAGATGGAAGCAGTCAATGAATAAGCAATATTGCAAAGTGGTCAAGACTGGTAAGAATGTATGTGTTACCCATACATACAATATATTGTGTTATAAATATATTGTATTATATTTATACAATGGGTAATAGCCAGAAATGAGAATGAAGTCATCATTACTATACCCCAAAAAGTGAATGAACCTCACAGACATAATGCTGAGTGAAAGATGCCAGACACAAAAATGTACATTGTGTGTTTCCATTTATATAAACTTAAAGAAAGTGGGGCCATTGTGGAACAAAGAAAATTAGTTAAGTAATGGAAACAAAAGCAGAGAGTAATTCAAGAAGAAGGAAGACATCAATGAATAGGCAAGATTGCAAAGTGGTCAAGACTGGTAACAATATATATGTACATATGAATTCCTCAGGAGAAAAAAATATAATACTAGATGTAAGCATGGAAATGCAATGAGCAATGAAAATAGAAAGTAACAACAATAATAAACTATATTAATAACCATAAAATAATAAGAACATTAAGAATAATATATTGTGGAATTCAAAGGGTATATAGCATGAAAATATATACTTGTATTTTTCTTCTTTTTCTGGTAGTGTGGTAAGTTGCATTTATTGGTTTTCAAATATTTAGTCAACTTTGCTAAAGGTTCCTGTGTGAATGAGAAACAGAGAAAGAGAAAATGAGAGAAAGAAAAGTCATAGACTGATTCTAAAATAATATGAAAACTCAAAGGGATAAGAAGAGCCAGTACCATATTCTTGAAAGAAGAAAGTTGGAAGATTGACTATAAGTTTCATAATTTATTATAAAGTAACAGTAACTATAAGCATACTGTATTAGCACAAAAATAGAAATAAAGAGACAAGTGGAATAAAATAGTAAGTCCAGAAACAGGCTCTTATACATATGGTTACTTGCTCGATGACAAAGATGGAAGACACTACAGTGAAGTAGGGAAATTATGGGCTTTTCAATAAATTATGCTAGATCAATTGGATATCCATGCGGAAAAAATATATCTTAATTTCTATTTCATGCTATATGGAAAAATTAATTATAGGTAGAATGTTGATCTAAACAGAAGGTGTAAAACAATAAAGCTTTCGAAGATATCATAGAAGATTATCTTAATCACCTCAAGAGGAAAAAAGTTTTCTTATGAAGAACTATTTCAAATTTAAGAATGTCACTCATCAAAAATAAATAAATAAAACAAAACAAAATAAAATCCATGAAAAAAGAGTAAAAGTCAAGCCACAAACTTGGAGAATATCTTTGCAACACATTTATATTACAAGGACTCACAACCAGAATACATTAAACTATTTAAAATCAATGAAAAATGGAAAAATGACCAGAAAAGCACTTCACCAAAAAGGATATCCAAATTACCAGTAAGCATGAAAAGGAGCTCAATTTTATTATTTATTAAGAAAATGCAGATTAAAACCTCTGTGAGATACCATTACACATCCACCAGAAAGGCTGAAATTAAAAGGACAAAAATTGCAGGGAGGTGGAGCAGTTGGAACTCTTATGCATTGCTGAACCAATACAACTACTTTGGAGAATGCTTTGGTAATATACATTTAAATTGAAAAATGCATACCCTATTATACTTCTAAATATATGCTCAACAAAATGTTAACTATGTCCAACAAAGGGTATGCAGAATTATTCAAAGCAACAACAACCCTAGCAGCCGAAGCTGGAAACAACACAAGTGCCAAATGCCCATCAACAGCAGAATGGATAAATATATTCCATATTCTGTTCTATTCATACAATGGGTAATACCCAGAAGTGAAAATGAAGTAACCATTACTATACCCAACAGAATGAATGAATCTCTCAGACATAATATTGAGTGAAAGAAGCCAAACATGAAAATATACGTTGTGTGTTTCCATTTATATAAAGTTCAAAAACAGGTAAAACTAAATTCTTGTGAAAACCGAAATCATTGTGAAAGATAGGGAATAATACTGAGACTGGGCTTGATGGACGCTTTGGGGTTGCTTATAATATTCCATATCCTGATGTCCAGTTTTATGAGTGTATTCATCTTGTACAAATCTATGATAGTGTTGACTTATGATCTGTGTATTGTTCTGAATGTATACTTTCAATTTATTTTTTTAAAAGAAAAAAATTGAGTTTGATGAAATTGCCTATGTAGAGTCTAGAAAGTGGAAACCTTGACAGCTAGCAATATTTACAGCCTGAGCAGATGAGGGGGCATTTGGTAGAGAAATAAGGAGGAAATGTGTATCTATGGTCACTGTGTAATTCATTTCAGCTCTCAGCTAGAGAACCTAGAACAATGCTTTTATTCATTTATTCATGCAGTAATTCAACAAATACTTTTGAGCACTGACCCCATACCAACTATTATGCCAAACCCTGGGGATACAATATTGAACAAAAAAGGACGAATACTCCTTCTATGTAGCATTCTACAATGTACATTAAATTATTATGGGAGGATGAATAAACATAAAGGAATGCTTGAGACTTGGAAGTCCGTTTAATTGGTAGACACTTTCTTGTTGTTTATTATATACGGACATAGTCATAGGCTGCTTGAAACCAGACATAAATGTCTAGTTTTCTGCACTGAAATTGGACTTTGTGATTTCTGATTCTGTTATAGATAGAGCTATAAGGTGCATGTTTACCCAATTCTTCAAATTCTGTCTAGTTTTGTTCTTTGTGGTATCTTCAAAATATGAAACATTAACACTTCTCTCTGGAAGAAAATGAAAACACCATACAATTCAAACTAAATATCATACAGTAGCTCTCTGTATTCCTCTCTCACAGAAATCTCAATTTTGAGATGAAAGAGTATGAAATTGTGCTTCATGAATACAAATGTAGATAATTACAATAAATGCTCAGCCATCTATTTTTTAACAAGTTATATTTATGCCTATTCATTTTGAGAGAATCACATATTCCTGTATTTTCCAGCCTCAGTGGCTATGTAAGAGCTCCTTCCAAATCTGTTTTCTAGAGCATCCCAGAGAGTAACATGTTAGTATTTGTGCTTACATATTAATACAGGAACAATAACCAGCAAGGGCTTGCTCGGAGGTTAAAGAAATATCCAATGAGGGTTTCATAATTATCATCCTCATTATGCTTTGGGGTTTACAAATTATGATACAATCTTTCATCTTTATGGTACTTTCAACACCATTCTTTCATTTTTATATGAAGCAGCTATTTTTATACACACACACACACACACAGAGAGAGAGAGAGAGAGAGAGAGAGAGAGAGATAGGCCTATCATTGAGAGATGTGAGATGCCTAACCCAAGGTCACATAGGTAACTGACACAGACAGCACTGGAACACATAACTTTTATTCTTCAAGTCCATTATTGTTTTTTCTACCACCCCACGTGACAGATGTCTATCACCCAATAGAAATCTGTCACCGCTTGGGTTTTCTGGGAAGCAGACTCTGAAACAGTTTAATGTACAGGATATTTTACTGAGGAGTGCCCTTAGAATTAACAACTATGAAAGACAAGGAAGGAATCAGGATTAACAGAGAGATAAGTTAAGCTATGAAGCAGATTTGATGATATCCTTGGCCAACTCCATGGGGAACCCAAGAACTTCATTTGGCCCATCAGAATTACCCCACCATATCGAGAAATGGCCAGATTTTTATATACCAACCTTGATCAGACCATGGATGTAGGCCTTCAGGGAAGAACATTACTTTGGGTGAAGTGACCCTCTATAGCTGACACAATCCCAGTAGCCCAGACCACAAGTCCTTGCAGGGGAACCTAGAGAGCACATTAGCCTTCTGTTGCTAATCTTACCAATGGCCTAAGCCAATCCACATGACTCTAGCCTTTCAAACTTCTAACAAGGATGCCTTTTTTTCCCCAAATACTATGAAACTTGCCTGTACAAGTATGTCCCTGTGGCACAAATTAATTTAGAGAACCAAAAAAATACAGACCACAGTTTATAATCTTGACTCTTCTCTTTAAGCTATACAGTGTCCTGAAAGTTGTCAGAGCTAGAGAGAATCCCTCTCACTTGAGAACAGAGAATGACCTTCTCTCATCATCTCCATGGGGGCAAGCTGCCTGGCTTTAGTAGTTTGGAAGATTGAGAGTTTTTGTTCCAAAGAGTAGGGACATGAATGCATTCTGGAAAACTTATCTCCATGATCACAAGATAGAGTTGTCTCCTCTTCTAAATTATCTGTGGTAGAGTTAGTAGTCAGTCGTGAATTAATCTTCTTTCTAAAACCTTATTATAGTTTCAACCTCTAGTATCTCTTTAGCATGCATCATACATTTCCCCATTGATAGAAATGACTTTCTTTTATTTATCTTACAAAGTGTCTGAAACTTCTGCTGGAAAATACTGGCCACCATTATTACCATCAAACTTATCATTATAATAACTAACAGTTATTAAAAGCTTTCTATATTTTAAACCTTCAGACAGCCTTCACAACAACCTAAATATAGTGGAAGGACATTTATTAGAAGGGTTTGAGATCTTTGGAAGTATACTGTAGGCAATGGGAAGACCTTGGTTGACACTGGGATAGACATTAGTCACATTCCCCCGCGACACATGCACACATACTTTGCTTTTGGTATACTTGGGTAGAAACTGCTCAGTGTGTGTTATTTAATATCATGTTTTGGGTAGGTTGACAAGGTAGAAAATAAGAAATCCAGTAAGGGTTTCCTGTGGGGTTGCCCAGTGATGTCACTGGATCTGCTTCATAGCTCAATTTCCCTCTCTGGCCAATCCCATTTCCTTCCCTTCTTTTTACAGGTGCTAATTTTGAGATTATACCACCAATGAGAAACAGGAATAAAAGAAATGTCAAATTACCTACTATTAGGGAAAAAGAAAGAGCTCTAGTGATGAAATTGAAATACAATCCAAAACCCACCGATGGAATAAAACCATCTCACCAGAAATGGGCACGTGGGAGGGATCCTCAAAATATTCCTCTGAATATTGGTAAGTGTTCTTGAAGACTGAGAGATTTATCTATTACTTGATTCCTTTTCTACTGATTAGGACCTTAGGTTTTCCAGAAGTATCTGTAAATTCTAAATATCTACCTTGTCTTTTTTCTCCAAACATCTGGGCAACTGAATTTTCACAGTGGTATTGATAGTAAAACTTTTCTGCACCTGAACACTTTGTAATTTCTTATTTACGGTTCTGCTCAGCAAAAGACCATTGCTACCTTGACCAGAACATAAGAAATCCTGCACAGAAGTCAGAATCAAATTTCATCATTAACATAGAAATTTAAAAAGGGGAAAGGCCAGACTAACATTAATGGAGCACCCTGAATGTGGCAGTTATTAAGCCAATTATCTGTATACATTATCATCATAAAAACTTTACATTAGCCATCATAAAAACTCAATAATGAATGTATTATCAGGTGGGGCGCGGTGGCTCATGCCTGTAATCCCAGCCCTTTGGGAGGCCGAGGCGGGTGGATCACCTGAGGTCAGGAGAGAGACCAGCCTGGCCAACCTGGTGAAACCCCGTCTCTACTAAAAATACAAAAATTAGCTGGGCATGGTGGCGGGCGCCTGTAATCCCAGCTTCTCGGGAGGCAGAGGCAGGAGAATAAATTGAACCCAGGAAGCGGAGGTTGCAGTGAGCCAAGATCTTGCCATTGCACTCCACCCTAGGTGACAGGGTGAGACTCCGTCTCAAAAAAAAAAAAAGAAAAAAGAAAAAAAGAAAAAGGAATGCATTCTCATTCCTATTTTTAGCTGAGGCTCAGAGAAGCTGAATTAAACAATTAATCAGAAGGTCTAAATTCGTAATCTTTTGATCCTAAACCCATGACCTTCCTGTTGCCCCACATATGTGACGAAGGAAGACTTCTGAACCCAAATTTCTTTCTTTTTTCTTGGCATTTCTCATTCATTCCAACAAATTTCACATAATCAAAGGTCCACTCTGTTTTTAAAGTGCAATGTCCCTAAATGTTCATATTTTTTCAACTATTATTTCAAGATGGCTTCACATTTTTACTATCTCAATGGTCTCTTCCAGCTAAACAGTAAGTAAAAATAACCCCAAACTATAAACTTTAATTTATAATTTAGTGTCAAAATTGAAAAAAGTCCACATATACAATTATTTAGTTGGAAAAGTTCTAAATCATTGTCTCTTAAAGACCTCCTTCTTCCCTATTCTTTCTCTTCCCTCCTTCTAGGACTTCAATTATACCTAAATTAAACCTTTTTAAAAGAGCATGTCCCTTGCGTTCTTTCTGCATTTTCATTCTTTTGACTATGTTTCAAGCTGAATATTTTCTTCCGACTACTCTACTTTTGCTTTCTAACAAATATACTGTTAAACCTATCTAGTGAGTTATTAATTTGAGATATTATAGGTTTTAGTTCTGGAATTTCTATTTTATTCTTTGTTATAAATATGCATTTCCTATGAAAATTATTTGTTTCATCTTTTAATATCTTCAGCATATAGTAGTTTCATCTTGTCTGCAAGTTTAATTTCTGTAGTTTCAGTTACCTGTGGTCAACTGCAGTCTGAAATTATTAAATGGGAAATTCCAGAGATAAACAATTCATAAATTTTAAATTGCACAACATTCTGAGTAGTGCATTGAAATCTCATGCCATACTGCTCTAACCTGCCCAGGACATGAATCATCCCTTTTTCCAGCATATTTATGCTGCAGACATCACCTGCCTGTTAGTCAATTCCTAGCCATCTCAGTTATCAGATAGACTGTCACAGTATCTCAGTGCTCATGTTCAAGTAACTCCTATTTTACTCAACAATGCCCAAATCACAAGACTAGTGATTCTGGCAATTTGGATATGCCAAAGAGAAGCCAGAAAGTGCTTCCTTGAAGTGAAAGGGTGGAAGTTTTTAACTTAATAAGAATAAAAAATTATGCCAAGGTTGCTAAGATCTATGATAAGAATTAAGATCTTATCTGTGAAACTGCAAAAAAAGAAAATATTAGAGTATATTGTTATAATTGTTCTATTTTATTATTAATTATCATTGTTAATCTCTAATAGTACCTAATTTATAAATTAAACTTTATCATAAGTATGTATATATAGAAAAAAACATAGTATATGTAGGGTTGGTACTATCTGAGATTTCAGCCATCCATTGGGGCTCTTGAAACATATCTTCCATGGATAAGTGGCAACTACTGTATTAGTTATAGTTATGTTAAATTCATAGCTCCTATATCTGGATCTCTTGTAGTTCTGTTATATTCTCATAGTAATTGATCAATGCCTGGTATCCAGTAATTTTTACTCAATTTTTTATTTTTATTGTATATGGAAAAATCACAAAGGATCTTCGAGGCTTTGGATGATGTCATCTGCCTTTAGAGATTTGCTTTTGCTTATAATAGGTAGTTTGAGGAGAACCATATCATCTTAATATGATCAAGGATTAAGTTTATTTACAGAGCAACTTCAGCCTCTTTTGAGGGCTAATCTACTTCCAGTTCATTCTTACTATTAAAGTGAGGTCACAGTTAAATACCAGTGATGTTACTCTTGATGAGCTTTACAGTACAACTTGTGTCCCCCAACACCATGAAACTGCCAAAAGTTTGACTCGGCTTTTTAGTCTTTCAGCTGCAGTTTTTGAATTGGCTGATGCCTCAAAGGGAAAATGGTGCTGAATGCTACCTTTATATCTCTGAGTTTCTCTTTTCTCTGGGATCTGAGCTCCTTGATTGCTCACTGCCTTAGTAGCTCTCTAATATCTTTAAACAGATTTTTGGGGTATAGGTTTTCTGGTATTCTTAGTAGAAATCTTGGTTTCAAACAAGAACATTGCTGGAAGTAAAAACCTCACATATAAATCTGAATCTATTTCATGGAGGAATAAATCAATATAACACAGTGGGTAAAAGCTCATGCTTGAGTCAGATTGCCTGAGGTTTGCATCTTAGTGCCACCATTTCTTAACTATGTCATTGAGCAAGTAACTTAAACATTTTGAGTCTGTTACTCTAGCTGTAAAATGAGGAAATTAAGGTAGCTTTCTGAAAAAATTGTTATGAGGATGAATTGGAACAGTGCATGTAGAGTGGTCAAGGCAGTGTGTGACATATACTAAGTGCTCAATAAACATACACTGGTCTCACAATTACTTAGTTACCATTCCTACCATTTTTACTGCCATAAAAAAACATGAAAGTATACCTATATTCCCATGCAACATTCCATTTCACTCTCTAAGAAATTTGCAAGATAGAGTAGATATTATTGTACCAACTTACACCCTCTTTCAACTTGAGAAAAACTGAGCTTTAGCTCATCTACCTGACTTAGTAAAGACTAAAATGTGGCAGGTCTGACATTTATACACAAGTTCCCCTGAACCCAAATTGTGAATTGTTTTAATAAAGTAATGCATAGAATAGTGCTGATATTTTAGGTTTGTCTGGCTTAATGCTATGGTTTAAGTGATACATGTTATATTTAGATTCAAGACTTAAAGCTTATCTAATACCATAATTTGACAATTGGAGAAACCAAGGCTCAGAGGCGGAAAGGTTTTGGCTGAGTTCACACAGCTAGTTAGGAGCAGAGTTGAAGGTAGAACAAGGCCCTAGGCTTTCCTCTACTTCAGATAGCTCCTTCTATGTCAAAAATATTTGGCTAGCAATAGCTGTAATTTTGACCCTGAAATATCATTAGTAATAGCGACATACTCTCCCTTTCCAAAAAGTAGCAAAGCAGCCAAGAATTAATCTTATCCCTGATATCAATTATCTATTATTATATTATATCACTTTGAACATTTCATCATGAAATTTTAAAAATTTAAGGCAGGCAGGGCACAGCGGCTCACACCTGTAATCCCAAAGCTTTGGGAGGCTGAGGCAGAAGAATTGCTTGAGGTCCACAGCTCAAGACCAGTCTGGGTAACAGTGAGACCCATCTCTATAAGAAATAAGAATAAAACAATTAGCCAGATATGGTGGTGTGTGCCTGTAGTCCCAGCTACTCAGGAGGCTGAGGGAGGAGGATTGATTGAGCCCAGGAGGTAGAGGCTGCAGTGAGCCATGACTCTGCCACTACACTCCAGCCTGGGTGACAGAGACAGACCTTGTCTCAAAAAATAAAAATAAATAAATAAATAAATAAAATTAATGAAGAAAAGAAAAATTCAAGGCAGCATCATGTGCTTAGCAGGGAAGTAAAGTGAAAATTGCTGTGTAAGAGTCAATTACTGGTTTATTGTGTGCGATTTTGACTATTCTAAATCAATTCAAGTAATACTAACTTCTCAGTAGCTTTAGAAGGTTTCTTAGCGTTTTTTGTTTTGTTTTGTTTCCAATTCTATGGAGTATGCAGTAACTACTCACGGAGCAAATAACATCAACCTTTTTAGAACTAACAACTGAAAATATTCTTGTACACGTATCCCCTGAATCCAAAGTAAAAGTTGAAATTATTTTAAAAATCTATTCAAAGCTCCCTTTGGATACCTAGATGTTAAAAAATATTGTGGACTATTTTGAACTTGGCTTACTCAATTGGTGAGAAAAAAACTTATTAGATCCCAGAAATCCTAAGGAAGGGACTTCTTTTTACAGATTGGGCATGTTCTCACTCCTGAATAATAGCCCGGGCTGGCCAGGAAGGGTCATGTGAAAACATGGCTGCTTCTACAGGAACTTTACAAGTAGAGTTTGTGGAGAGGCTATTCCACAAAAGAATCTTCCATGTTGGGAGGGGCAGGGCAGTTGGGCAGTGGTAGATCTTCCATACAACTGTTCCCCATACCTTGTCTGGTGTGGAGTCACCTAAGCTGTTGAAGAAGGAGAACATGTAACTTCTCTGTATAAAAGGAATATATACATATATTTGAGAAGGAGTCTTGCTTTGTCTCCCAGGCCGGAGTGCAGTGGCGTGATCCCGGCTCACTTGCAACCTCCGCCTCCCGGGTTCAAGCGATTCTCCTGTCTCAGCCTCGCGGGTAGCTTGGACTACAGATGCGCGCCACCACGCCCAGCTAATTTTTGTATTTTTAGTAGAGATGGGGTTTTGCCATGTTGGCCAGACTGGTCTCCAACTCCTTACCTGAGGTTATCCGCCCGCCTCAGCCTCCCAAAGTGCTGGGATTAGAGGCGTGAAATACAGCCCCCGGCCTACAAGGAATATTTTAATCTAAGAGGTCTGGTCTTAATTCTGTTACTATTGTTTCCTTTTTTCAACCATTTCATTTTCTTTCTCCTTTTTCTTCCCTAATCTGTTCTCTTCTATTTCCAGTCCTTACTTCAATTTTCAACATCTTCAAGAATTTCAAAAGTATAAAATCACACGCATCATAATATAGGAATCAGATTTTATCAATCTATTCACCCTAAGGTGAAGATTGAAGGTATTCATTCGATGTAAGATTAGTAGCTACAAAGAGAATCAAAGACTGCAACACTTATCCCCAAAGATCAAATAACTATCTTTCCTGGGCAAAGGTAGGTATTTATGGAGGAGGTTTCTTAGTTTTCAAATCATTTCTAATTTGCATCTAGAAAATTAGAACAAATGTTCTATCAAAAAATATATACATGGTTATTTAGCTTTTCAGCTGCACAGACAGAAAGCCCACTGTGCACCCTCGCCCTGAATATCTTGTGGGAAGAATATAATTGCCTTTATTTTAGGAGAAGCATTTCTTTTCACAAAAGGCACAAATTTCTCAAGATAAAAGCTGACAAGAAGATGGGCTGAGACACTGAAGAAAGCTAGATTACAATCTCTAATACCTTTTTCTTAAAGGAAAAAACTTTATTGAGATATAATTCACATGCTATATAATTTACCCATATAAAATTTAAAATTTGATAATTTTAGTATATTCAGTTTTACATCCCCATAATCAATATTAGAATATTTTCATCATTCACATGAATTAAACCCTGTATCCATTAGCAATCATTTCACACTTCACAACCCATAAAAATTTGTCACTGATGGAAGTTCTAAGGATGATCCCTCTATATGTCAAATTTGTCCACTTATTTTTAAAAGGCCAAGGGCCTGGAAAGAGACTCTTGTGGGCACTCCAACAATGGTGAAGTTTTGCCTTCTACAGGGCTGGATTGAACACTAGTATTTGGATCTACAGGCACACTGAATTACTGAATGAAGTGTGAAGTCACTCAATGTGGCTATTCACAACCATAGTGCAGCTCAGAATCTGATCTCAGCCCAGAACCCATGTGCTCCTGATTCTCATTTGAGACTCTTTCCAGCATCACACTTCCTTTTTTGGGATAAGCTTTCAAATGTAAAGGAAATGCCTTCAATCCTAAATCCAAGTCCAAATCCCTCTCCAACATACTGAGCAATGTCTGATATTCGTTTCCCAAAAAACCTCACCTTTCTTTACACATGTATAAAAGTGGCAAAAAAAAAAAAAAAATGCATGGCAGAGTACAATGACTTACAACCTGGGCCTCTAAGGAGAAGTGAAAGGCTTATGTACAAGAAAGATAAAGGAAACAACTAGGGATCCTGGGAAGCCGTAGACTCATTTCTGCCTTTTTGCACTGACTGAGGCCGGGCCCCAAGGAAGATGTGGGTTGAATTGCTTCCAGAACTAATTGCTCTGGGCTGCAGTGATAGTCTTCAGTTCCTTGCTGACTTCAATTAAGTGGAAAAACAATCCTTAGTGGTCTTTCTTGCTAAAAATTGCTGAGTAATATCCCAAATTCTTCAGGTCTCAGACCAACATAGCATAGTTAAAAAGTATTGTACATAAGTAGAAGTCTAGGCCCCAGGGCACTAGTGCACTGGTATGGAACAGATATGGACCTACACAGAAATCGGGCAAGTGTGTCTTTTCTATTGGAATATCAGTAAGCTCTATGGTTAATTTTTGCATTAAAAAGTTATGTCTGCTTTGTCTGGATTCTTTGAAGATATCTTGCCTGAAGCAGAAGAGTATAGTAGAAAGGCATGATCTTGGATGTATTGAAACAAACAAACAAAAATCTGCTTCAAGCATTATGGCCTTGAAAAAAATATTTCATCTATATGAGTTAATTGTCTCATGAAACTGTTTTGAAGAATAGATGGTTAATGTATGTAGAGCTGTGTAACAGCACCTAGAACATCAAAGTAGGTATTACTGTGATTATTACTGAGCCCTCCTTCCCCTCATAACCTATCCTCATGTTCTCTCTCCTCCCTCCTATTCCTGAAGGGACTGAAAATTTAGTTTATGCCAATGGGATAGTGGTTAAAGAGATTTCATATGTAACCCCTCCCAATGGCATTAGATGGAGATAATGAAAGAAGTAAGTGGAGTGTTTATCAAATGAATTCCAGCTATAAGTCAACCACTGCAACAGCTGTTTAGGAAATGTGACAACCCCTAAAATCACTAAGCCAAAGAGAATGCCTCCTTATTTGATCTGGAAGAAGTATGCCAAGGAAGTATGGTTAATATGCTTGCTCTAGCAGTCAGTTCTAGTGTGGGAGACCTCATGATTGGTCTCCATAATGGTAAAGTGTCAGCACTTTTATATTAGTCCGGAGTTACAGGCAGTTTCTGGGTAAGTCATTTAACTTGTGGGCCTCAGTTCCTCTGCCTTTCAAATGGGTTTAAGTGTCTATTTTTTTTTTTCAAATGAGTGGGTATGTGTAATTTTCTGTCAAGTTTCAAGTACTAGATGCCAAGCACTAGGAATAAGGATAGAATTTTCAAGCAGCAAGATATAGAGAAAACAAAAAAACAGACAGATATCTAGGGTAAAGTCATGGTTAGAGGAAAATAAGTCTGGAGAAACTCTTCAAGGCTAGAAAGACCTTGATGGGCTAATGAGGCCCATCTTATGTTTAAGAAATGAACTGCTACGGACACTAAACTGGGACAAACTCTGTCTTTCCTATTTATCTCAAAGAATTATTCTGCAATTTAAATGAGATAATCTTTTTGATGACAATTTGAATGTCAGCAGTATAATATTGCAAATTTATGAGAACATTTTCTTTTTACACCAGGAAAAGAAATGTCCTTATCATTTAAAGGATAAACCAGATTTCACAGCTATTTGGTACATTCAGAATTTAAGTTACCATAAAGGCAAACAGATTAGTTATTATGTGGTTACTGGTTAGCAAATTTGGGAATAGAGTGAGAACACTGTGTTAATAGATGTGAGAGACGTGGCTATGCCACTTGGCAACAATGTGACCTTAGGCAAGTAGTGTAACCTCACTTAACCTTTGTTTCATCATCTTAAAAAAAAGATAATTATTTCTGTCTTAGTAATTTGATCTTGTTAGAATCAAATTATAGATTGCAATGTGAAAGCACTTTGTAAATGGAAATGTGCTGTGCAAATGTAATAACAGATAGAAATTAAAACTTAACCCTTTCTAAATTTCACCAGCCTAAAAATCCCCAGAAATTTTTGTCTTAGCATTGCATTCTTCTGATAAATCTGCCCCATGTCCACCACACACACGCACACACACACATACATACACACACACACACTTGCATCTCAATCTGTCTATAAGGTCAAATAAATCCTAAGAGAACAAGTGAATAAAGTATATGAGTGGGCTGGTCCTAATCCATTTGGTCCATTGTCATGGAGTATAAACAAAAAAATTTGTCATTCTCCTAGCAATTAATAAGCCTCTCTGAGCAGACCTGGGATGGGGCACTGTGCCCCCAAATGGCAGCAGCATTACTGGATGACTTCACCCCCTGAGGCTATGACTGCACTGAGAGCAACTTAAGTAGCATCAAGGCAATTTCAGAAGATTGCTTGCTTCTCTATTATCTTTCCTTTCTTCTTCTTCTTCTTATAAGAACAGACTCTCCTCAGCTGACATTCTGCAGTAGGAGGAAGACAAGTAACATCCAACGGCTCACAGCCAAGTGTTTGATTGGAACACTAATACTGAATATGTCTCCTTAGAGCTGCCATGCCCAAATTATCCACTCCTCCACAATTTTGGTTTATGGACATTTTGCAGGACAGACCAAGATGCCATCTTGCTTCATTCTTTATTATCTATCTATGGCTAACATTTAAAGCTATATTTGTTCCAGTATATGTCCCAAGTATATAAATAATTTAAAAATGCATAGCTGGGCATGGTAGCAGGCTCCTGTAATCCCAGCTACTTGGGAGGCTGAGGCAGGAGAATCGCTTGAACATGGGAGGTGGAGGTTGCGGTAAGCCAAGATAGCACCGTTGCACTCCAGCCTGGGCAACAAGAATGAAACTCTGTCTCAAAAAAAAAAAAAAAAAATGCAGTAAAATTTTCCCAAGTATAATCAGCTTTTATTTCCTTCAATTAGTTTTGTTGATATGGGCAAATTTAGAACCAAGCAGAATATATGTGGACATGGTCTTTTAGGAGATTGGAGCTTAATTTTTTAGATTTATTTTTTAAGTTGCACAATTAATGCATACAAATGTATAAATTCATAAAATATAAAAGAGCAAAGAAAAAAGAGGAAGCTCTCCCTAGTTTTACTCTATTTAAAAGAAGCTTATTTTTTGCAAGAAACAGGCACAAACTTATATAAAAAATGACAACTTAAGTTAGAAGCAAAAATAAAACATAATTGTAATTAGAACCAGACAGGAAAAGAACAGTCCTTAGTAGACCAGGTCAATTGCAGTAAGAGTGTGCACTCTCACCAAGTAGTATAAAAGGAGCTTTCAATCATATCACTAATTAGATTTTTTCTGAATAAGTAAAATAGGTAAAGTAGAAAGTTGCAAAAATTATAACACGATACACTTAAAGAAAGGTCTGTTATTTTTTGTCAAGCATCTATAGAAAATGCCTGGACAAAACCAAATTACGAAATATCTTATTAGACCTATTTATTTTTGTTGAGTCAGCATTGAAGTTCATTTTTTGTTTGTGTTTAGATATACATAATTTATTTTTGGCTTAATAGAAATGTGGTCCTTCCTTATAATATCTTAATGTTCAATGAGATGGAGTAAGTGTCTCTCTTCTTAATCTTTTTTAGTTTGTTTGTATCTCGAGGGTTGGGGAGGCAGGAGATATCAATCACCTTCTCAGACCTAGTCTCAGAATCCATAATTCAAGGTGAAATTTCTGTTACTTATCAATGTTTCTGAAGTGTTTGATATGTTATAAATCAATTTTTTGCCCTACGTGGAAGTGATCACATAACAGATTTTCATTTGGCTTACATGTCAAGTCCAGGGATCCTTTTCTTGTCTCTATTTATACCCCAAAACAATTATGACAGTTAATAGGAAATCCTTACTTTTGTCTGCATCCCCTTGGCTTAGACTTCATGGCAGAAGTTCAGGACCATGGACAGCATCCCGGACAGTTGGCATTCGTATGCCTACAAAACAAGAGGCATGATCCATAGTCTCAAGGAGCTTATGGTATTGTTTCTGAGACAATAATAATCTAGAAAAGCACAACAAATAAGTATGCAAATAAATAACATAACATAGTTTATAAAATAAAAAGAATCATAGGTGAAAAAGTAATAATCCGGCAGTTATGGGATTTTAGGCAAATTATTTCCTCTCTCTGAGCAGCAATTCTTCCTTTTATAATAGGAGAATTAGATTAGACCAGTGATTTCCAGATTATTATGTTCTCAATCCAGTCAAATTAAAAAAAAAAAACAAATTTAGGTGGTAAAGATAGGATGCTTAGCCCTATTTTTTGCCAAATTAAGGGCATTAAAAATTGCTTCTATTGCCATTATTTCTATTTTTAAAAAAAAAAAAAAAAAAGACATAGACTGGGCACAGTGGCTTATGCCTGTAATCCTAGCACTTTGAGAGGCCAAGGCGGGCAGATCATCTGAGCTTGGGAATTCGTGACCCGCCTGGCCAACATGGTGAAACCCCGTCTCTACTAAAAATACAAAAATTAGCCAGGCATGGTGGTGCACATCTGTAATTCCAGCTACCTGGAAGGCTGAGGCACGAGAATCGTTTGTACCTGGGAGACAGAAGTTGCAGTGAGCCGAGATCTTACCATTGCACTCCAGCCTGGGCAACAGAGTGAGACTCTGTCTCAAGAAAAAAAAAAAAAAAAAAAAAAAAATATATATATATATATATATTTCAACACCCAAAAAAGAACTTAATCACAGAATAGAAACAGCTCGTTATAAAATAGGACACTTCATTTATTTGTTTATTCTGAAAAACATGTGTTGAATGCTTGCTGTGTGCCATGCTGTATCTGGTGGTGGAAATGCTGTGGCGAAGAAGCAGACAAGTCTCAGTGGGGATCCCATCAAGGAGATCAAAGAATGGCAACTTTGACAGTATATACTCTGTGCAGATAGATTCATTCATTCTATTATAAACTAGTGAAAACATCATCCACTAATACCCATTCTTGGACTAAAATTTGGAAACCACTGTTCCACAGGATTACCAGTTTCCAGATCCTATGGTTAATAAGGTCCAGAGGCTCTATCATAAATAATAAGTGTAAACAGGGAAGTATCAGTGTTGGTTGGAATAATTTAAACCCAATAATAAAATCTAGGTAGAGATGGAAGGCATTTTATTTTGATTTAAGTTTGATGCGAAATAAAGTGGATATAAAGTTCTTATTCTTACTTGGAATTCGCTTTTTCTACTCACTGACAAAAACATTTAAGATATTATTGGTTATCATCATGATAATTAATGTATTAGCTTATCTGGCAACCCCAAATTTGGGGGGTTGTCATTCTATCTTCCATGAGATACTGATAGAAAGGAATTACATTATGTGTCCAGGAGGTAATAGCAAACCAATTATTTTAATTTGGGTAGTTGCTTTGCCTTGGAAGATGTGATTATAAAGTCACTAAATCTTAGTAGTCCAGGTTTACTCCATGTCTGAACAAGATTAGCAAGTGTACTGATTGAAATCTTCGTCTGACTCAAGTTGCCATTTGTTTGGCCATGTGATGAAATCCCTGAGAAGTTCATTTTTGGGTTCGTTGATAATTATTTACAATAGAAAAAGAGTGAGCAAACAATCTTCCACTTTGCAATGAGATAGGCAAGATGGAGTTGTATTTTGCCACAAAGTTTCCACTGAATCATATCTAATGTCCAGGATAAATGGCTTGAAAATAAATTTAAATGAGAATAACTAGAGAACATACTCAGGACCACTGGGCCAACAGGGAAGGGGAGAATATAAGTGAACTTGTAGGATAAATAAGTATAAATGAGGTACAAATTGTATCAGCATTCAGTTATGGGAGGGATGACTAAAAGACATCCAGTTGTCATGGAGAAGAACGCACAGAGAGACAAATAACGATGCTTAAATTACAGGACATGGGAACTGGAAAAGCTATTGACCTGTACACAGGAACATGGGGAATTTTATTCTAGTTCTGCTTCTTTGCTAATTTACTGCATAACACTGGTAAAACCATCAGCCTTCTTTCTGCTTCAGATATTTCTTTGCTGTATGTGCCAGATGGGTTAAACAATCCTGTTCCTTGGGATACATTAGTGTGCACTCAGGAAACAATTCAGTTGGTTTTTGAGAGTAAAGATACTGTGGTCAAACAAACCAAGGCTCAAATCATGGCTTACCAGCCACAACACTCACCAAACACATAGATCAGCCATGTTATTTAACCTATCTGCCTAATAATCTTAATCAGTAAAATGTGAGTAACAGTAATATCAACATTATATGATTCTTGTACAACTTAAATAAAATAGGTACATAAACTTCTTAGCTCAATGTCAGGAATACATGTGATTATTGTTGCTCAAGGCCAGTGCATACTGAAATTTCCAAGTCATGTCCTCATTATTCAGCAGCCATAGCAAAGATTAAGTCTCTCCAGGACTCTTTGCTTATCATCTGACTGCACAAAATAACAAAGCCAACAGCCTAATGGAATTGGTGAACTCTTAGTATTACCATCATATGTGAAGACTAGCAGCCAGCACATTTTCCCTTGTGCCCGTTGTTGCATTTATCAAAAAATGAAAACATATATTACAAAAGCATCTACAAACTAGGAATTACACTTGGACTGCCACCTTGTTCCTGTTCCCTTGTACTCCCTGGCTTCAGTAATGTGGTTGAAGCAGAGAAGATGTTAAATGCCACAGGGCTAGGGAAGACAGACAAAGACAACTTCTGTTTCTCCTAAGAAGACATCCTTTCTAGCAGAAATATGAAATATTTTTTATTTGGAAAGACAGACCTGTTTTCACTATATTAAATATTTTATAAAAATTTTCCCAGAGTAAAAGAAATTTAATTTTACAAATATTAATCATGTACCTATCACAATTCAGACACAGTGTTTGATGTATGCAAGAAGAGGCAGTTGTCAAATAAATAAGACATTTTCCTTTGCTCTCCCTTCCTCTTACCACCCTGTAGTTGCACAAACACACACACACACACACACACACACATGCACACATGATTAGGGAACTGAGAAGCAATAAAAATAAAGTGGCTCCCAAAGTTTGTTCCTTCCACTAGCGTTATCAGCATCACCTGGGAATCTGTTAGAAATGCAAATTTTCAGGCCCGACTCCTGATCTCTAAAGTCAGAAACTCTGGGGATAGTGCCCAGCAATGACTGTTTTAAAAAGCCCTCCAGGGGATTTGATGCACACTTGGGTTTCAGAAAACTTCTCTAGCAGGACTTTGAGTGTCTTTTGAGAGAGAGGCAATTCACATACAGGCAACCTCAGTCTCTATCACAGAACCAGGACGTGCCCTTGGAGACATTAATCATCATTCTATGTCTCAGTTTCTCAACTATAAAATGGAAACAAATATTTTTCTACTTTGGAAGCATAATCTGAAATATACTTGTGGCCATCGTGAGAATGTGCCTAGCTGACCTCCTGCTACAGGGAGTGTGACTTAGGGTTCCAGCTGAAGCACTTTGAAATCTATCCACACGTTTGCACTGAGACCATGCTGTTCTCAGGCTGCCAGCTAATGACTAGTTTCATAGAGGATACTAAGACAGACCCATCATGGAAGATATGGACAACTCAGTCTTGAGACTATCTGACAGATTTGCCAAACTGTCTGGTGACTGTGTGGCAGTTCAGAATGATTCCACCCAACTTCTCCCTCTCCTTCAATTAGGCTTACTGCACTGTGACTCTTCCAGCCTTCCTGATCTTCTGTTTCCTTTTACATGGGCATTTTATCTAATAAAGTCCTTGCACATTTAATCCCACTGTGGTTCCTGCTTCACAAAGGACACAGATTCACACACTTGTTTCAGCCAATTTTCCATTTAAGATAATTCTATTCAAGAAACATGCCCTCTGCCTTGGGAAAGTTGGCTGTTAAACCCATTTTATAGTAGTCAATCATAAAATATCAATTATACTTAATTAGGAGAGGATATAGAAATGAGGAATGATATACATATTTCAATCTTGGACCCCTATTTTAAGAACCAAATTTCTGCTTCATTTAGAGCCTTCATTATTGCCGCTCTTTCTGAAAATTCTGCTTCTTGTATCCATAGATCCTTCTTAGGGTGGTGACCTGACCTTTCCTGTAGTTTTCCCTTTCTATCTTTGACCTGAACCATGCAACCTGCTAACACATATCCTGGATGGTCACTCATCCGCCTGAACATGTGGACTATCCCTTTTTCTGAGATTTATCGGTGACTACAGTATACTTCACTGTGGAATTACCTGCTTCTTTATTCTACTTTGAAGAGGAATAGTTACATGTTGAAGTCCTATAGTTATATATACCTGAATTTCAATTACAGTTCATCTCCCTAGTAATTAGATGCCCTTGGACATGTTACTCACAACCTCTCTGAGCCTCAGTTTATAACCTGACTTCTAGAGTTATGAAAAATACTCAAGGAGAAACCCTCATAAAGGGATTATCACAGAAGCTGACACATAGTAAATATTCAACGCATAGCTGCTACTATTATCGTTATCATCACTACTTGATAGACCAAGTAGTAATGGATATTTTGAACACCATACATTGTCCTGAAGGAGGATTAATTTCTAACATTCTCATCCTGCTTTCAGGGAATAAGTAAGCAATACAGTTCCAGCTACTGCTTATCTCTGTGGCCCCATTTTGCTATATGCTCAGCGCTAAGGCAGGTTATACTCATATTTCACAGGGAGCTGTACAAAATAATCCCCATCAAATTAAGAATGTGAAAGGCCCCTGAATAACACATACTAAAGTCACCGGAGAGCAGAAATGATGTCTTAATTCATCTGGTTTCATCTTGTGCTTAGCACAATACCTAACAGTATAGTCAAGAGATGATGAATGAAGCAATTTGGTAAATATTTGGAAGAAGAAGATACTTCTTTCACTCTATTTTATTTATTTATTTATTTATTTTTATTTTTACTTTTGAAATGGAGTCTTGCTCTGTCACCCAGGCTAAAGTGCAGTGGTGCGATCTTGGCTCACTGCAACCTCTGTCTCCTGGGTTCAAGTGATTCTCCTGCCCCAGCCTCCCAAGTAGCTGGGGTTGCAGGCGCCAGCCACCATGCTCAGCTAATTTTTGTATTTTTAGTAGAGACGGGGTTTCACCATGTTGACTAGACTGGTCTTGAACTCGTGACTTTGTGATCCGCCTCCAAAGTGCTTGGATTACAGGCGTAAGCCACCATGCGCAGCACCTTCTTCCACTCTTGATGTGTCCTTTTATGTGGAGAAAATTTCAATATGCATGATACCCCTAAATGTTTCCTGCTTATTCACTGGTTGCACCAAGAAAGAGTAGAGTGATTTACATGATTGGTAACTTGGGGGAAGAGAAATTATGCATGTCATATTAGCCTGTTCTCACGTTGCTGATAAAGACATACTTAAGACTGGGAAGCAAAGTAGGTTTGATGGACTCACAGTTCCACATGGTTAATGAGGCCTGACAATCATGGTGGAAGGAAAAAGGCACTTCTTACCTGGCAGCAGCAAGACAGAATGAGAAAGAAGCAAAAGCAGAAACTCCTTATGAAACCATGTGATCTTGTGAGACTTAATCACCATCATGAGAGCAGTATAGGAGAAACCACTCCCATGATTCAATTACCTCCCACAGGGTTCCTCCCACAACATGTGGGAATTATGGGAGTATAATCCAAGATGAGATTTGGGTGGAGACACAGAGCCAAATCATATCACATGTCTCCTCAACTAACCTCTTTTTTTTCTCTTGGGCATGCACTCTCTACAGGAAGCAGGTATTTTCTCCCCACTGCTCCTAAATGTCCTAAGTTTCAGTTAGCACGGGTTTCAGTTAGGAGGCCCACTGAACCCTTAAGCTAAGATGTATCCTCCACTCTAATCTTAGCAATTGTGACATTTTGACCTCCATGTCCTTACTCTTTATTTTTCTCAGTTTGCTCAGGGTCCAGACAGGAAAGGGTTTCTATTTTTTAGCCTATTTTGAAAGTCCCAAAGGCAAGATATGGGGACCTTCAAAAACCTAAAAATGGGTTCACCCCTTTACTCAGATATTCTGAGTCTAAGAATTTATATTTTAAAAAAAGGGGAGGGGATCTGGCAAAATGGCCAAATAGGAACAGCTCTGATCTGCAGCTCCCAGCGAGACCAATGCAGAAGGTGGGTGATTTCTGAATTTCACTTGAGGTACCCAGTTCATCTCATTGGGACTGGTTAGACAATGGATGCAGCCCACTGAAGGCAAGCAGAAGCAGGGTGAGGCGTTGCCCCACCAGGGAAGTACAAGGGGTCAGGGAACTCCTTCCCCTAGCCAAGGGAAGCCGTGAGGGACTGTGCCATGAAGGACAGTGCTATTGGGCCCAGATACTATGCCTTTCCCATGTTTTTTGCAACCCACAGACCAGGAGATTCCATCAGATGCCTACACCACCAGGGCCCTGGGTTTCAAGCACAAAACTGGGCAGCTGTTTGGTCAGACACTGAGCTAGGTAGGAGTGTTTTTGTTTTGTTTTGTTTTGTTTTGTTTTGTTTTGTTTTGTTTTGTTTTTTTTGTACCCCAGTGGTGCCTGGAACCCCAGCGAGACAGAACCATTCACTATCCTGGAAAGGGGACTGAAGCCAGGGAGCCAAGTGGTCTTGCTCAGCGGGTCTCCCCGCAACAGAGCCCAGCAAGCTAAGATCCACTAGCTTGAAGTTCTCACTGCCAGCATAGCAGTCAGAAGTCAACCAGGGACACTCAAGCTTGGTGGGGGGAGGGGTGTCCACCATTACTGAAGCTTGAGTAGGCGATTTTCCCTGCACAGTGTAAACAAAGCCACCGGGAAGTTCATACTGGGCAAAACCTACCACAGTGTGGCAAAGCGACTGTAGTCAGACTGCCTCTCTAGATTCCTCCTCTCTGGGCAGGGCATCTAGGAAAGAAAGGCAGCAGTTGCAGTCAGAGGCTTATAGATAAAACTCCCAACTCCCAGGGACAGAGCACCTGGGGAAACGGGCGGCTGTGGCTACAGCTTCAGCAGACTTAAATGTTCCTGCCTGCCAGCTCTGAAGAGAGCAGCAGATCTCCCAGCACAGTGATAGAGCTCTGCTAAGGGACAGACTGCCACCTCAAGTGGGTCTCTGACCCCTGTGCCTCCTGACTGGGAGTCACTGCCCAGGAGGGGTCAACAAACACCTCATACGGGAGAGCTCCAGCTGGCATCTGGAGGGTGACCCCCTGGGGTGAAGCTTCTAGAGGAAGGTGCAGGCTGCAAACTTTGCTGTTCTGCAGCCTCCACTGGTGATACCCAGGCAAACAGAGTCTGGCATGGACATGCATCAAGCTCCAGCAGACCTGCAGAAGAGGGGCCTGACTCTCAGAAAAAAAAAAAAAAAAAAACAGAAAGCAATAACATCAACATCAACAAAAAGGATGCAATGCAATAACCCCATCCAAAGGTCATCAGCATCAAAGACCAAAGGTAGATAAATCCACAAAGATGAGGAAAAACTAGTGCAATAATGTTGAAAATTCCAAAAACCAGAATGCATCTTCTCCTCCAAAGGATCACAACTCCTCACCAGCAAGTGAACAAAACTGGACAGAGAATGAGTTTGATGAACTGACAGAAGTAGACTTCAGGGGTAATAACAATTTCCTCCAAGCTAAAGGAGCATGTTCTAACCCAATGCAAGGAAGCTAAGAACCTTGATAAAAGGTTACAAGAACTGCTAACTAGCATAACCAGTTTAGAGAAGAACATAAATTACCTGATGGAGTTGAAAAACACAGCATGAGAACTTTGTGAAGCATACATGAAGCATACACAAGTATCAATAGCTGAATCAATCAAGTGGAAGAAATGATATCAGAAACTGAAGATCAACATAATGAAATAGAGTGTGAACACAAGATTAGAGGAAAAAAAGAATGAAAAGGAATTAACAAAGCCTCCAAGGAATATTGACTATGTGAAAAGACCAAACCTATGATTTATTGGTGTACCTGAAAGTGATGGGGAGAATTGAACCAAGTTGGAAGAGACATTTCACGATATTATACAGGAGAACTTCCCCAACCTAGCAAGACAGGCCAACATTCAAATTCAGGAAATACAGAGAACACCACTAAGATATTCCTTGAGAAGAGCAACCCCAAGACACGTAACTGTCAGATTCACCAAGATTGAAATGAAGGAAAAAATGTTAACAGTATCCCGAGAGAAAGGTCCAATTATCCACAAAGGGAAGCCCATTAGACTAACAGCAGATATCTCTGCAGAAACCCTGCAAGCTAGAAGTGAGTGGGGGCCAATATTCAACATTCTTAAAGAAAAGAATTTTCAACCCAGAATTTCACATCCAGCCAAACTAAGCTTCATAAGAGAAGGAGAAATAAAATCCTTTACAGACAAGCAAATGCTGAGGGATTTTGTCACCACCAGGTTTGCCTTACAAGAGCTCCTGAATGAATAACTAAATATGGAAAAAAAAAAAAAAAAGAAAAAACAACTGGTACCAGCCACTGCAAAAACATAACAAAATGTAAAGACCATCGAAACTATGAAGAAATTGCATCAACCAATGTGTAAAATAACCAGCTAGCATCATGATGACAGGATCAAATTCACACATGACAATATTAACCTTAAATGTAAATGGGCTAAATGCCTCAATTGAAGGACACAGACTAGCAAATTGGATAATGAGTCAAGACCCTTCTGTGTTTTGTATTTAGGAGACCCATCCCATGTGCAAAGACACACACAGGCTAAAAATAGAAACATGGAGTTATATTTCCCAAACAAATGGAAAGAAAAAAAAAAAGCAGGGGTTGCAATCCTAGTCTCTGATAAAACAGACTTTAAATCAACAAAAATCAAAACAGACAAAGAAGGGCATCACGTAATGGTAAAGGGATTAATGCAACAAGAAGAGCTATCTATCCTAAATATATATGCACCCAATACAGGAAAACCCAGATTCATAAAGCAAGTTCTTAGAGACCTACAAAGAGACTTAGACTCCCACACAATAATAGTGGGAGACATTAACACCCCACTGTCAATATTAGACAGATCAATGAGACAGAAAATCAACAAGGATATTCAGGACTTTAACTCAGCTCTGGATCAAGTGGACCTAATAGACATCTACAGAACTCTCTATCCCAAATCAACAGAACATACATTCTTCTCAGCACCACATTGCACTTACTCTAAAATCAACCACATAATGGGAAGTAAAACACTCCTCAGCAAATACCAAAGAAAGGAAATCATAACAAACAGTCTCTCAGACCACAGTGCAACCAAATTAAAATTCAGGATTAAGAAACTCACTCAAAACTGCAAAACTACATGGAAACTGAACAACCTGCTCCTGGGTGACTACTGGGTAAATAAGGAAATTAAGACAGAAATAGATAAGTTCTTTGAAACCAGTGAGAACAAAGATACAATGTATCAGAATCTCTGTGACACAGCTAAAGAAGTGTTTAGAGGGAAATTTATAGCACTAAATGCCCACATGAGAAAGTAGGAAAGATCTAAAATCAACACCCTAAAATTACAATTAAGGAACTAGAGAAGCAAGATAAAACAAATTCAAAAGCTAACAGAAGACAAGAAATAGATCAGCTCAGAACTGAAGGAGATAGACACACACACACAAAAAAAAACCCTTCAAAAAAATCAGTGAATCCAGGAGGTGTTTTTAAAATAGATTAATAAAATAGATAGACTCCTAGCCAGACTAATAAAGAACAAAAGAGAGAATAATCAAATAGACACAATAAAAAAGGATAAAGGGGATATCACCACTGATCCCACAGAAATACAAACTACCATCACAGAATACTATAAACACCTCTATGCAAATAAACCAGAAAATCTAGAAGAAATGGATAAATTCCTGGACACATACACCCTTCCAAGACTAAACCAGGAAGAAGTGGAATCCCTAAATAGACCAATAACAAGTTCTGAAATCGAGGCAGTAATTAATAGCCTACCAATAATAAAAAAAAAAAAAAAGCCCAGGACCAGACAAATTCACAACAGATTTCTAGCAGAGGTACAAAGAGGAGGTGTTACACTTCCTTCTAAAACTATTCCAAGCAATAGAAAAAGAGGGACTCCTCCCTAATTAATTTTGTGAGGCCAGTGTCATCCTCATACCAAAAACCTGGCAGAGCCACAACAAAAAAAGAAAACTTCAGGCCAATATCCCTGATGAACATTGATGCGAAAATCCTCAATAAAATACTAGCAAATCTAATTCAGCAGCACATCTAAAAGCTTATCCACCACGATCAAGTCAACTTCATCCCTGGTATGCAATGCTGGTTCAACATATGCAAATCAATAAACATAATCCATCACATAAACAGAACCAATGACAAAAACCACATGATTATCTCAATAGATGCAGAAAAGGCCACACCCTTCATGTTAATAACACTCAATAAACTAGGTATTTATGAAACATACCTCAAAAGAGTAAGAGCTATTTATGACAAACCCACAGCCAATATCATACTGAATGGGCAAAAGCTGGAAGCATTCCCTTTGAAAACTGGAACAAGACAAGGATGCCTTCTCTCACCACTCCTATTCAACATAGTATTAGAAGTTCTGGCCAGGGCAATCAGGCAAGAGAAAGAAATAAAGGGTATTCAAATAGGAAGAGAGGAAGTCAATTTGCCTCTGTTTGCAGATGACATTGTATATTTAGAAAACCCCATCATGATAGCCCAAAATCTCCTTAAGCTGATAAGCAACTTCAGCAAAGCCTCAGGATACAAAATCAATGTGCAAAAATCACGAGCAGTCCTATACACCAATAATAGACAAACAGAGAGCTAAATCATGAGTGAACTCCCATTCACAATTGCTACAAAGAGAATAAAATACCCAGGAACACAACTTACTAGGGATGTGAAAGACCTTGTCAAGGAGAACCACAAACCACTGCTCAAGGAAATTAGAGAGGACACAAACAAATGGAAAAACATTCCATGCTCATGGATAGGAAGAATCAATATCATGAAAATGGCCATACTTCCCAAAGTAATTTAAAGAGTCAGTGCTATTCCCATCAAGCTACCACTGACTTTCTTCACAGAATTAGAAACAACTATTTTAAATTTCACATGAAACCAAAAAAGAGCCTGTATAGCCAAGACAATCCTAAGCAAAAAGAGCAAAGCTGGAGGCATCATGCTACCTAACTTCAAATTATACCACAAGGCTACAGTAACCAAAACAGCATGGTACTATTACCAAAACACATATATAGACCAATGGAACAGAACAGAGGCCTCAGAAATAACATCACACATCTACAGCCATCTGAGCTTTGACAACCCTGACAAACACAAGCAATGGGGAAATGATTCCCTACTTAATAAATGGTGTTGGGAAAACTGGCTAGCCATATGCAGAAAACTGAAACTGGACCCCTTCCTTATACCTTATACAAAAATTAACTCAAGATGGACTAAAGACTTAAGCATAAGACCTAAAACCATAAAAACCATCGAAGAAAACTTAGGCAATACCATTCAGGACATAGGTACGAGCAAATACTTCATGACTAAAACACCAAAAGCAATGGCAACAAAAGCCAAAACTGACAAGTGGGATCTAATTAAAAGTTTCTGCACAGCAAAAGAAATTATCATCAGATTGAACAGGCAACATACAGAAAGGGAGAAAATTTTTGCAATCCATCCATCAGACAAAGGGCTAATGTCCACAATCCACAAGGTACTTAAACAAATTTATAAGAAAAAAACAACCCCATCAAAAACTGGGTGAAGGATATGAACAGACACTTCTCAAAAGAAGACATTTATGCAGCCAACAAACAAATAAAAAAAAAAAGCTCATCATCACTGGTCATTAGGGAAATGCAAATCAAGTCCACAATGAGATATTATCTCACGCCAGTTAGAATGGCAATCATTAAAACATCAGGAAACAACAGATGCTGGAGAGAATGTGGAGAAATAGGAACACTTTTACACTGTTGCGAGTGTAAATTATTTCAGCCATTGTGGAATACAGTGTGGCAATTCCTCAAGGATCTAGAACTAGAAATACCATTTGACCCAGCAATCCCATTACTGGGTATATACCCAAAGGATTATAAATCATTCTACTATAATGACACATGCACACATACGTTTATTGTGGCACTGTTCACAATAGCAAAGACTTGGAACCAACCCAAATGCCGATCAATGATAGACTGGATAAAGAAAGTGTTGCACATGTACACCACAGAATACTATACAGCCATGAAAAAGAATAAGTTCATGTCCTTTGTAGGGACATGGATGAATCTGGAAACCATCATTCTCAACTAACTAACACAGGAACAGACAACCAAATACCACATGTTATCACTCATAGGTGAGAGTTGAACAATGAGAACACTTCGGTATAGGGAGAGGAACATCACACACTGGGGACTGTTGGGGAGTGTGGAGCAAGGAAAGGAATAGCATTAGGAGAAATACCTATTGTAGATGACAGGTTGATGGGTGCAGCAAACCACCATGGCACCTGTATACTATGTAACAAACCTGCACGTTCTGCACATGTATCCCAGAACTTAAAGTATAATAAAAAATAAATAAATAAATAAACAAACAGTCCAGGTGCAGCGACTCACGCCTATAATCCCATCACTTTGGGAGGCCTAGGCGGGTGGATCACCAGAGGTCAGGAGTTTGAGGCCGGCCTGACCAACATAGTCAAACTCCGTCTCTACTAAAAACACAAAATTAACTGAGCTTGGTGACGCATGCCTGTAATCCCAGCTACTTGAGAGGCTGAGGCAGGAGAACTGCTGGAACCTGAGAGTCAGAGATTGTAGTGAGCTGACATCATGCCATTGCACTCCAGCCTCCAGGTGTCCCTCACTATTAAAGATTTTAAAATACAATTAGAAATTAAAAATCCAATAAGTGGAGATTATAGTATTTCCAAGTGATGAAATGGGATACAATCCTGCCAAATCATTTTTTCCCAAGAATATTTAATGGTGTTGGGAAATTCTTAGGGAACAATGATAACTGAAAAAAAAAATGACTCAAATAATGTAAATACACACACACATAGACCCAAATAAAAAAGACATTTTAGATGTATTTTTTTTTTAATTTTTTTTTATTTTTGAGATGGACTTTCACTCTTGTTGCCCAGGCTGCAGTGTAATGGCGCGATCTCAGCTTACAGCAATCTCTGCCTACTGGGCTCAAGTGATTCTCCTGCCTCAACCTCCCTAGTAGCTGGGATTACAAGCATGCGCCACTACACCCAGCTAATTTTGTATTTTTAGTAGAGACAGGGTTTCTCCATGTTGGTCAGGCTGGTCTCAAACTCCTGAGCTCAGATGCTCCGCCCACCTTGGCCTCCCAAAGTGCTGGGATTCCAGGCATGAGCCACCACATGGGGCTTTTAAAATTTAATTTAATTTTACATTCCAGGATATATGTGCAGGATGTGTGGGTTTGTTACATAGGCAAATATGTGCCATTGTGGTTTGCTGCACTTATCAATCTTAATCTAGGAACAAATTAGCTTATTCCTTTTTTTGCAACAGAGAAATCCTGGAGAGGACAACTATTATGGCCATTGGAATATGTCTTATTCCAAAAGTGTTGGGAAAATGGCACTATACTGGGAGGGGAGGGGTAAGAAGGGTTGACTCCTGGTTCTGTTTCCTCCTACTGTTCTTGCCTCTGTCTCAGTCCTTTCCTCTGTCTCAGCTTCCATGGCTGTAAAAGATTGGACTTGGAATCAATGATCTCTAAGGACCTCTCCCACTCCAATATGTTAGAATTTCACGATCTCATCATTATAAATTTTGTGCCCAGGCATTCTAGCTAATTGGACTGGAAGGCTCACAATTCTTCAGTGAATTTGAACTCTGTGAAGTTATCTAGTTAAGTCACTGGAATACCCAAATAGATTCCGTGGTACAGTAATTACTTCTTATAAAACTTTTTCAAGTTAACAAGATGATCTTGAGAAATCATACATAACTTCATACATCTTTTATTTCTTTTGCCCTAATATTTTTCATACACCTCCTTCTGAAAATAGAGGAAATACAGTATGTTGGTCTTTAAAACAAAAAATAAAACACATCATCTTTTATTTTTTACTTTTTTGTTTGTTTTATAAAATTTTTTAAATTTAATTTTATTATTATTATACTTGAAGTTTTAGGGTATATGTGCACAATGTGCAGGTTAGTTACATATGTATACATGTGCCATGCTGGTGTGCTGCACCCATTAACTCGTCATTTAGCATTAGGTATATCTCCTAATGCTATCCCTCCCCCCTCCCCCCACCCCACAACAGTCCCCAGAGTGTGATGTTCCCCTTCCTGTGTCCATGTGTTCTCACTGTTCAATTCCCACCTATGAGTGAGAACATGCGGTGTTTGGTTTTTTGTCCTTGTGATAGTTTACTGAGAATGATGATTTCCAATTTCATCCTTGTCCTTACAAAGGACATGAACTCATCATTTTTTATGCCTGCATAGTATTCCATGGTATATATATGCCACATTTTCTTAATCCATTATATCATTGTTGGACATTTGGGTTGGTTCCAAGTCTTTGCTATTGTGAATAGTGCCACAATAAACATACGTGTGCATGTGTCTTTATAATAGCATGATTTATAATCCTTTGGGTATATACCCAGTAATGGGATGGCTGGGTCAAATGGTATTTCTAGTTCTAGATCCCTGAGGAATTGCCACACTGACTTCCACAATGGTTGAACTAGTTTACAGACCCACCAACTGTGTAAAAGTGTTGCTATTTCTCCACATCCACTCCAGCACCTGTTGTTTCCTGACTTTTTAATCATTGCCATTCTAACTGGTGTGAGATGGTATCTCATTCTGGCTTGATTTGCATTTTTCTGATGGCCAGTGATGGTGAGCATTTTTTCATGTGTTTTTTGGCTGCATAAATGTCTTCTTTTGAGAAGTGTCTGTTCATGTCCTTTGCCCACTTTTTGATGGGGTTGTTTGTTTTTTTCTTGTAAATTTGAGTTCATTGCAGATTCTGGATATTAGCCCTTTGTCAGATGAGTAGGTTGTGAAAATTTTCCCCCATTTTCTAGATTGCCTGTTCACTCTGATGGTAGTTTCTTTTGCTGTGCAGAAGCTCTTTAGTTTAATTAGATCCCATTTGTCAATTTTGTCTTTTGTTGCCATTGCTTTTGGTGTTTTAGACATGAAGCCCTTGCCCATGCCTATGTCCTGAATGGTAATGCCTAGGTTTTCTTCTAGGGTTTCTATGCTTTTAGGTCTAATGTATGAGTCTTTAATCCATCTTGAATTAATTTTTGTATAAGGTGTAAGGAAGGGATCCAGTTTCAGCTTTCTACATATGGCTAGCCAGTTTTCCCAGCACCATTTATTAAATAGGGAATCCTTTCCCCATTGCTTGTTTTTCTCAGGTTTCTCAAAGATCAGACAGTTGTAGATATGTGGTGTTATTTCTGAGGGCTCTGTTCTGTTCCATTCATCTATATCTCTGTTTTGGTACCAGTACCATGTTGTTTTGGTTACTGTAGCCTTGTAGTATAGTTTGAAGTCAGGTAGCGTGATGGCTCCAGCTTTGTTCTTTTGGCTTAGGATTGACTTGGCAATGTGAACTCTTTTTTGCTTCCATATGAACTTTAAAGTAGTTTTTTCCAATTCTGTGAAGAAAGTCATTGGTAGCTTGATGGGGATGGCATTGAATCTATAAATTACTTTGGGCAGTATGGCCATTTTCACGATATTGATTCTTCCTACCCATGAGCATGGAATGTTCTTCCATTTCTTTGTATCCTCTTTTATTTCATTGAGCAGTGGTTTGTAGTTCTCCTTGAAGAGGTCCTTCACATCCCTTGTAAGTTGGATTCCTAGGTATTTTATTCTCTTTCAAGCAATAGTGAATGGGAGTTCACTCCTGATTTGGCTCTCTGTTTGTCTGTTATTGGTGTATAAGAATGCTTGTGATTTTTTACATTGATTTTGTATCCTGAGACTTTGCTGAAGTTGCTTATCAGCTTAAGGAGATTTTGGGCTGAGACAATGGGGTTTTCTAGATATACAATCATGTCATCTACAAACAGGGACAATTTGACTTCCTCTTTTCCTAATTGAATATTCTTTATTTCCTTCTCCTGCCTAATTGCCCTGGCCAGAACTTCCAACACTATGTTGAATAGGAGTGGTGAGAGAGGGCATCCCTGTCTTGTGCCAGTTTTCAAAGGGAATGCTTCCAGTTTTTGCCCATTCAGTATGATATTGGCTGTGGGTTTGTCATAGATAGCTCTTATTATTTTGAGATACGTCCCATCAATACCTAATTTATTGAGAGTTTTTAGCATGAAGGGTTGTTGAATTTTATCAAAGGCCTTTTCTGCATCTATTGAGATAATCATGTGGTTATTGTCTTTGGTTCTGTTTATATGCTGGATTACATTTATTGATTTGCAAATATTGAACCAGCCTTACATCCCAGGGATGAAGCCCATTTGATCATGGTGGATAAGCTTTTTGATGTGCTGCTGGATTCAGTTTGCCAGTATTTTATTGAGGATTTTTGCATCAATATTCATCAAGGATATTGGTCTAAAATTCTCTTTGTTCGTTGTGTCTCTGCCCAGCTTTGGTATCAGGATGATGCTGGCCTCATAAAATGAGTTAGGGAGGATTCCCTCTTTTTCTATTGATTGGAATAGTTTCAGAAGGAATGGTACCAGTTCCTCCTTGTACCTCTGGTAGAATTTGGCTGTGAATCCATCTGATCCTGGACTCTTTTTGGTTGGTAAGATATTGATTATTGCCACCATTTCAGAGCCTGTTATTGGTCTATTCAGAGATTCAACTTCTTGCTGGTTTAGTCTTCGGAGGCTGTATGTGTCGAGGAATTTATCCGTTTCCTCTAGATTTTCTAGTTTATTTGCGTAGAGGTGTTTGTAGTATTCTCTGATAGTAGTTTGTATTTCTGTGGGATTGGTGGTGATATCCCCTTTATCATTTTTTATTGTGTGTATTTGATTCTTCTCTCTTTTCTTCTTTATTAGTCTCACTAGTGGTCTATCAATTTTGTTGATCCTTTCAAAAAACCAGTTCCTGGATTCATTAATTTTTTGAAGGGTTTTTTGTGTCTCTATTTCCTTCAGTTCTGCTCTGATTTTAGTTATTTCTTGCCTTCTGCTAGCTTTTGAATGTCTTTGCTCTTGCTTTTCTAGTTCTTTTAATTGTGATGTTAGGGTGTGAAGTTTGGATCTTTCCTGCTTTCTCTTGTGGGCATTTAGTGCTATACATTTCCCTCTACACACTGCTTTGAAAGTGTCCCAGAGATTCTGGTATGTTGTGTCTTTGTTCTCGTTGGTTTCAAAAAACATCTTTATTTCTGCCTTCATTTTGTTATGTACCCATTAGTCATTCAGGAGCAGGTTGTTCACTTTCCACGTAGTTGAGCGGTTATGAGTAAGTTTCTTAATCCTGAGTTCTAGTTTGATTGCACTGTGAGAGACAGTGCAATGTCTGAGAGACAGTTTGTTATAATTTCTGTTTTTTTACATTTGCTGAGGAGAGCTTTACTTCCAACTATGTGGTCAATTTTGGAATAGGTGTGGTGTGGTGCTGGAAAAAATGTATATTCTGTTGATTTGGGGTGGTGAGTTCTGTAGATGTCTATTAGGTCCGCTTGGTGCAGAGCTGAGTTTAATTCCTGGGTATCCTTGTTAACTTTCTGTCTCGTTGATCTGTCTAATGTTGACAGTGGGGTGTTAAAGTCTCCCATTGTTATTGTGTGGGAGTCTAAGTCTCTTTGTACGTCACTCAGGACTTGCTTTATGAATCTGGGTGCTCCTGTATGGGGTGTGTATATATTTAGGATAGTTAGCTCTTCTTGTTGAATTGATCCCTTTACCATTATGTAATGGCCTTCTTTGTCTCTTTTGATCTTTGTTGGTTTAAAGTCTGTTTTGTCAGAAACTAGGATTGCAACCCCTGCCTTTTTTTGTTTTCCATTTGCTTGGTAGATCTTCCTCCATCCTTTTATTTTGGGCCTATGTTTGTCTCTGCATGTGAGATGGGTTTCCTGAATACAGCACACTGATGGGTCTTGACTCTTTATCCAATTTGCCAGTCTGTGTCTTTTAATTGGAGCATTTAGTCCATTTACTTTTAAAGTTAATATTGTTATGTGTGAATTTGATCCTGTCATGATGATGTTAGCTGGTGATTTTGCTCGTTAGTTGATGCAGTTTCTTCCTAGCCTCGATGGTCTTTACAATTCGGCATGATTTTGCAGTGGCTGGTACAAGTTGTTCCTTTCCATGTTTAGTGCTTCCTTCAGGAGCTCTTTTAGGGCAGGCCTGGTGGTGACAAAATCTCTCAGCATTTGCTTGTCTGTAAAGTATTTTATTTCTCCTTCACTTATGAAGCTTAGTTTGGCTGGATATGAAATTCTGGGTTGAAAATTCTTTTCTTTAAGAATGTTGAATATTGGCTCCCACTCTCTTCTGGCTTATAGGGTTTCTGCTGAGAGATCCGCTGTTAGTCTGATGGGCTTCCCTTTGTGGGTAACCTGACCTTTCTCTCTGGCTGCCCTTAACATTTTTTCCTTCATTTCAACTTTGGTGAATCTGACAATTTTGTGTCTTGGAATTGCTCTTCTTGAGGAGTATCTTTGTGGCATTCTCTGTATTTCCTGAATCTGAATGTTGGCCTGCTTTGATAGATTGGGGAAGTTCTCCTGCATAATATCCTGCAGAGTGTTTTCCAACTTGGTTCCATTCTCCCCGTCACTTTCAGGTACACCAATCAGACATAGATTTGGTCTTTTCCCATAGTGCCATATTTCTTGGAGGTTTGTTCATTTCTTTTTATTCTTTTTTGTCTAAACTTCCCTAAACACCTCATCTTTTAAAACTCTCAATAACTTTCACAAAAGAAGGCTTCCTCAAATATTTTTTTTTCCTACAGATGCAGAAGCACTTAAAAAGCCATAAAAGGACACATTAATAATGAAAATTGGAATCATTTTGTATTTGTTTTTAAATGGGAAAAAATAATTATTCATATTCAGTTGCTCATTGAAATGCCATCATTTTTAATTTTTCTTTTCTTTTTTTTTATTGATCATTCTTGGGTGTTTCTCGCAGAGGGGGATTTGACAGGGTCATAGGACAATAGAAGGGAAGGTCAGCAGATAAACAAGTGAACAAAGGTATCTGGTTTTCCTAGGCAGAGTGTTTGTGTCCCTGGGTACTTGAGATTAGGGAGTGGTGATGACTCTTAAGGAGCATGCTGCCTTCAAGCATCTGTTTAACAAAGCACATCTTGCACCGCCCTTAATCCATTTAACCCTGAGTGGACACAGCACATGTTTCAGAGAGCACAGGGTTGGGGGTAAGGTCATAGATCAACAGGATCCCAAGGCAGAAGAATTTTTCTTAGTACAGAACAAAATGAAAAGTCTCCCATGTCTACTTCTTTCTACACAGACACAGCAACCATCCAATTTCTCAATCTTTTCCCCACCTTTCCCCCTTTTCTATTCCACAAATCCGCCATTGTCATCATGGCCCGTTCTCAATGAGCTGTTGGGTACACCTCCCAGACAGGGTGGTGGCTGGGCAGAGCGGCTCCTCACTTCCCAGTAGGGGCGGCCAGGCAGAGGCGCCCCTCACCTCCTGGATGGGGCGGCTGGCGGGGCGGGGGGCTGACCCCCCCACCTCCCTCCCGGACGGGGCGGCTAGCCGGGCAGGGGGCTGGCCCCCCCACCTCCCTCCCGGATGGGGCGGCTGGCCGGGCGGGGGGCTGACTCCCCCACCTCCCTCCCGGATGGGGCGGCTGGCCGGGCAGAGGGGCTCCTCACTTCCCAGTAGGGGCGGCTGGGCAGAGGCGCCCCTCACCTCCTGGACGGGGCGGCTGGCCGGGCAGGGGGCTGACCCCCCACCTCCCTCCCGGATGGGGCGGCTGGCCGGGCGGGGGGCTGACTCCCCCACCTCCGTCCCGGACGGGGCGGCTGGCCGGGCAGAGGGGCTCCTCACTTCCCAGTAGGGGCGGCTGGGCAGAGGCGCCCCTCACCTCCCGGACGGGGCGGCTGGCCGGGCAGGGGGCTGACCCCCCAACTCTCTCCCGGATGGCGCGGCTCGCCTGGCGGGGGGCTGACTCCCCCACCTCCCTCCCGGACGGGGCAGCTGGCCGGGTGGGGGGCTGACCCCCCAACCTCCCTCCCGGACGGGCCAGCTGGCCGGGCGGGGGGCTGACCACCCACCTCCCTCCCGGACGGGGCGGCTGGCCGGGCAGAGGGGCTCCTCACTTCCCAGTAGGGGCAGCCGGGCAGAGGCGCCCCTCACCTCCCGGACGGGGCGGCTGGCCGGGTAGGGGGCTGACCCCCCACCTCCCTCCCGGACAGGGGGGCTCGCCTGGTGGGGCTGACCCCCACCTCCCTCCCGGACAGGGTGGCTGCCGGGCGGAGACGCTCCTCACTTCCCAGACGGGGTGGCAGCCGGGCGGAGGGGCTCCTCACTTCTCAGACGGGGCGGTTGCCAGGCGGAGGGTCTCCTCACTTCTCAGACAGGGCGGCCGGGCAGAGATGCTCCTCACCTCCCAGACAGGGTCACGGCCGGGCAGAGATGCTCCTCACATCCCAGACGGGGCAGCGGGGCAGAGGCGCTCCCCACATCTCAGATGATGGGTGGCCGGGCAGAGACGCCCCTCACTTCCTAGATGGGATGGCGGCCAGGAAGAGGCGCTCCTCACTTCCTAGGTGGGATGGTGGCCAGGCAAAGACACTCCTCACTTTCCAGACTGGGCAGCCAGGCAAAGGGGCTCCTCACATCCCAGACGATGGGCGGCCAGGCAGAGACGCTCCTCACTTCCCAGACAGGATAGCGGCCTGGCAGAGGCTGCAATCTCGGCACTTTGGGGGGCCAAGGCAGGCGGCTGGGAGGTGGAGGTTGTAGCTAGCCGAGATCACGCCACTGCACTCCAGCCTGGGCACCATTGAGCACTGAGGTAACGAGACTCCGTCTGCAATCCCGGCACCTCGGGAGGCCGAGGCTGGCGGGTCACTCGTGGTTAGGAGCTGGAGACCAGCCCGGCCATCACAGCGAAACCCCGTCTCCACCAAAAAAATACGAAAACCAGTCAGGCGTGGCGGCGCGTGCCTGCAATCGCAGGCACTGCAGGCTGAGGCAGGAGAATCAGGCAGGGAGGTTGCAGTGAGCCGAGATGGCAGCAGCACAGTCCAGCTTCAGCTTGGCATGAGAGGGAGACCGTGGAAAGAGAGGGAGAGGGAGACCATGGGGAGAGGGAGACCGTGGGGAAAGGGGGACCTTGGGGAGAGGGAGAGGGAGAGCCATTTTTAATTTTTCAATGTTTTCTCTTTTACTGTAATTCAGCAAAATGATTTAATTATTTTTTTTTTATCTCTCTGCCTGATAATTTCATAAACTCTTTTTGTTTCAGAAGGATAATGACTCACCTCAGGTTTGGTGCCTGCTGGATCCTTTCTCCTTGAGATGGGATATTGTTCTATGATAATCTTAGTCCATGCCTTCCAGATAAAAGAGGGAGTTTAATAAAATAGACCTAACCATGACTCTCTACTTTTCCAGAAGGGAGGTCTCATATCTCATCATGTTTTAATTAAGCAATAAGTTAGATGTCAAGAGCAATTAGAGTCTTGAAGGTCAAAGCTTGCTTAATTAAAGAATTAGAGAGGCCTCTTCTTATTCGACTATTTTGAAAGTACCAAGAGGCCTCTTACATCAACCTGGGAAGTCAAAGGAAATTAAGTCATAGCCAAATAGGCTAACACTTCGCATTGGAATTCAGACTTGGGTTTCCTCCTGCTAGGCTGCATTGGACTCCACATAAGCTCGTGGTTTGATACATAAATTGAATATGTGGTCTTAGGACCCAAAGTAGCAAACAGATAATGATCTGAAAGTGCTATTAAATAGCAGAGAATTTCAGTATTTGCTAGGTTTAAGTAGGTAGGAAGCAAAAGTTACAAAATATCAGACCTTTGATGTGGTTTTTTTTTTTCTTAGTATTTTTTTTCAAGCATGGTCCTAGAAGCACCTTCATAAGAATCTTCTTAGGTACTTGATACAATGCAGATTTAAAGGCCCTACCCCAATTCATTGAATCAGAATCTCTGGGAATAAATTTCTGGAATCTGCTTTTTACTAAGGTCCCTAGATGATTCTTATGCACACTAAAGTTTCAGAAACTATAGATCTAGTCCATTTTTCTCATTTTGTCAATGCAAATCTAAGATTCGGAAAGAGTCACCTCTGCTAACCACTTTTGGGATCAAGATTATAACCCATACCTTCTTAGTTCATGTCTGTGTCCTTTTCCACCAACCAATCAGACTACAAAGGTGAACCATATAACCAAGCTTTCCTACTTCTATATTAGTAGGTATGCTTTGCATACCAACCTTGCCCGAAATAATTTTCCATACTGTTTGTCATAATGACTGATAATATTCTGATATTCAATGCATGTGCTTTTAGATTTAAAAGGTATTAGCTTCTTCTTATGTCATAATCCTGAGGACCATTTCCCTTAAAATAGTCTTATTTCTTTGCTGTCGCCTTGCAATTATATTTCTATCATTAACATTTGCTATTTCTTTGAATATTAGCAGTCTGAGATATTTCTGAATTGAGAGGCTCATTTTCTAGATATCCCCACAATTGTGCTCCTTTTGAGACTACAACCTCGATTGCCAAGATAACATCAGCAATTGAGATGTAGCTGATCTTGTAATCTAAACTCATGCAATATAAAACTGAAGAAAGAGCACAGACCTAAGAGTTAGAAGACCTGGTTTCTAATCTTTTCTCAGCCACTAACTCAATTTAAGCCTGTCATTTTCCTTTTGAGACCTTGTTTCCTCATTTGTAGAAGTCAGAACAGTTCTTAAAAATAGGCCCCTTTTCAGTTCTGACATTCTATGAAGGGAAGCTGGGAAACCAGGACCCTATGCTGTCATTAACTCACATTGTTCTTGAGAAGTGTGAAAAATTAGGAGATGCAAATATCTCTAATTATATCAAGCTGCCAAAGAAACAGTTGTCAATGTATTTTATTATTTGGCTGGTAAGGAGAGCCCTTAAGAGCTGTTGAGTTCCCTGTGGTTATACGGGAAGAAATGAATGAACTCCTACAGGGGGTATTAATGAGGTTCCAGCATTTGTGTGGGAGGGCAGAGGAGACTTTAGGGAGAAAATATCTCCAGAGGATTTAGTCCATACTCTGCTGTTTCTGCAAAGGCTGAAGAGGCTAGAGAGGAGCAGACTCTCCAAAAAGCAGGGTAGAATTTCAGCTTGCAGTGCAAGAGGTTCAGCTTAGAACAAGATGTGCCTAAACAATTTAAGACAATTAAAGCATTCTCAAGGGACTCAAGAAGATATGCACGTTTGAATTTGGTTTTTCTTCAGTAACTCTATGGTAAAAACAAAAACGAAACGACCAAACAAACACTCGGACAAAAAAAAAAAAAAAAAAAAAAAAGGAAAAAAAAGCCTGATAGAAATGTGGCCATGTGACCTGAGCACCTAATGATCAACAAGCTCTCCTGGGTGTCAAGGAAATGTGTGGACCTGCAGACAAGTGAACTGGATTTGAATTTTACCTGTCATGTCTTAGCAGTATCTTTGTATGAGTCACTTTAAGACTAATAAGTCTTCCTTTCTATCTCTTAGACAGGAGTAAATAAGGCCTTTCCTGCCTCTCTCAAGTGGTGGACAAGAAACAAAGGTGAATAGGAGAGGTAGGGATGGTGAAGTCATGTTAAACGTATTACTGCTCAAATGTAGAGACTGAGAAACAGTTTCTAGAGATAAATTAAATTGTAGTGCCTGAACGGCCACACTCCAAATGGGTGAACTTATGTGAGTCACTTGAAATTTCTGATCCTCTCTTTTCTTTTTCTTTTATTTTATGATTATTAGACTTTAAGTTTTAGGGTACATGTGCACATTGTGCAGGTTAGTTACATATGTATACATGTGACATGCTGGTGTGCTGCACCCATTGACTCGTCATTTAGCGTTAGGTATATCTCCTAAAGCTATCCCTCCCCCCTCCCCCCACCCCACAACAGTCCCCAGAGTGTGATGTTCCCCTTCCCCTATCCATGTGTTCTCATTGTTCAATTCCCATCTATGAGTGAGAACATGTGGTATTTCGTTTTTTGTTCTTGTGATAGTTTACTGAGAATGATGATTTCCAATTTCATCCATGACCCTACAAAGGACATGAACTCATCATTTTTTATGGCTGCATAGTATTCCATGGTGTATATACGCCACATTTTCTTAATCCAGTCTATCGTTGTTGGACATTTGGGTTGGTTCCAAGTCTTGGCTATTGTGAATAGTGCCACAATAAACATATGTGTGCATGTGTCTTTATAGCAGCATGATTTATAGTCCTTTGGGTATATACCCAGTAATGGGATGGCTGGGTCAAATGGTATTTCTAGTTATAGATCCCTGAGGAATCGCCACACTGACTTCCACAATGGTTGAACTAGTTTACAGTCCCACCAACAGTGTAAAAGTGTTCCTATTTCTCCACATCCTCTCCAGCACCTGTTGTTTCCTGACTTTATAATGATTGCCATTCTTACTGGTGTGAGATGGTATCTCATTGTGGTTTTGATTTGCATTTCTTTGATGGCCAGTGCTGGTGAGCATTTTTTCATGTATTTTTTGGCTGCATAAATGTCTTCTTTTGAGAAGTGTCTGTTCATGTCCTTTGCCCACTTTTTGATGGGGTTGTTTTTTTCTTGTAAATTTGTTTGAGTTCATTGTAGATTCTGGATATTAGCCCTTTGTCAGATGAGTAGGTTGCGAAAATTTTCTCCCATTTTGTAGGTTGCCTGTTCACGCTGATGGTAGTTTCTTTTGCTGTGCAGAAGCTCTTTAGTTTAATTAGATCCCATTTGTCAATTTTGTCTTTTGTTGCCATTGCTTTTGGTGTTTTAGACATGAAGTCCTTGCCCATGCCTATGTCCTGAATGGTAATGCCTAGGTTTTCTTCTAGGGTTTCTATGGTTTTAGGTCTAATGTTTAAGTCTTTAATCCATCTTGAATTAATTTTTGTATAAGGTGTAAGGAAGGGATCCAGTTTCAGCTTTCTACATATGGCTAGCCAGTTTTCCCAGCACCATTTATTAAATAGGGAATCCTTTCCCCATTGCTTGTTTTTCTCAGGTTTCTCAAAGATCAGACAGTTGTAGATATGAGGTGTTATTTCTGAGGGCTCTGTTCTGTTCCACTCATCTATATCTCTGTTTTGGCACCAGTACCATGTTGTTTTGCTTACTGTAGCCTTGTAGTATAGTTTGAAGTCAGGTAGCGTGATGGCTCCAGCTTTGTTCTTTTGGCTTAGGATTGACTTGGTGATGCAGGCTCTTTTTTGGTTCCATATGAACTTTAAAGTAGTTTTTTCCAATTCTGTGAAGAAAGTCATTGGTAGCTTGATGGGGATGGCATTGAATCTATAAATTACCTTGGGCAGTATGGCCATTTTCATGATATTGATTCTTCCTACCCATGAGCATGGAAGGTTCTTCCATTTCTTTGTATCCTCTTTTATTTCATTGAGCAGTGGTTTGTAGTTCTCCTTGAAGAGGTCCCTCACGTCCCTTGTAAGTTGGATTCCTAGGTATTTTATTTTCTTTGAAGCAATTGTGAATGGGAGTTCACCCATGATTTGGCTCTCTGTTTGTCTGTTATTGGTGTATAAGAATGCTTGTGATTTTTTACATTGATTTTGTATCCTGAGACTTTGCTGAAGTTGCTTATCAGCTTAAGGAGATTTTGGGCTGAGACAATGGGGTTTTCTAGATATACAATCATGTCATCTACAAACAGGGACAATTTGACTTCCTCTTTTCCTAATTGAATACTCTTTATTTCCTTCTCCTGCCTAATTTCCCTGGCCAGAACTTCCAACACTATGTTGAATAGGAGTGGTGAGAGAGGGCATCCCTGTCTTGTGCCAGTTTTCAAAGGGAATGCTTCCAGTTTTTGCCCATTCAGTATGATATTGGCTGTGGGTTTGTCATAGATAGCTCTTATTATTTTGAGATATGTCCCATCAATACCTTATTTAGTGAGAGTTTTTAGCATGAAGGTTGTTGAAATTTGTCAAAGCCTTTTCTGCATCTATTGAGATAATCATGTGGTTATTGTCTTTGGTTCTGTTTATATGCTGGATTACTTTTATTGATTTGCGTATATTGAACCAGCCTTGCATCCCAGAGATGAAGCCCACTTGATCATGGTGGATAAGCTTTTTGATGTGCTGCTGGATTCGCTTTGCCAGTATTTTATTAATGATTTTTGCATCAATGTTCATCAAGGATATTCGTCTAAAATTCTCTTTTTTGGTTGTGTCTCTGCCCGGCTTTGGTATCAGGATGATGCTGGCATCATAAAATGAGTTAGGGAGGATTCCCTCTTTTTCTATTGATTGGAATAGTTTCAGAAGGAATGGTACCAGTTCCTCCTTGTACCTCTGGTAGAATTTGGCTGTGATTCCATCTGGTCCCAGACTCTTTTTGGTTGGTAAGCTATTGATTATTGCCACAATTTCAGAGCCTGTTATTGATCTATTCAGAGATTCAACTTCTTCCTGGTTTAGTCTTGGGAGGGTGTATGTGTTGATGAATTTATCCATTTCTTCTAGATTTTCTAGTTTATTTGCATAGAGGTGTTTGTAGTATTCTCTGATGGTGGTTTGTATTTCTGTGGGATCGGTGGTGATATCCCCTTTATCATTTTTTATTGCATCTATTTGATTCTTCTCACTTTTTTTCTTTATTAGTCTCATTAGCGGTCTATCAATTTTGTTGATCCTTTCAAAAAACCAGTTCCTGGATTCATTAATTTTTGGAGGGTTTTTTGTGTCTCTATTTCCTTCAGTTCTGCTCTGATTTTAGTTATTTCTTGCCTTCTGCTAGCTTTTGAATGTGTTTGCTCTTGCTTTTCTAGTTCTTTTAATTGTGATGTTAGGGTGTGAAGTTTGGATCTTTCCTGCTTTCTCTTGTGGGCATTTAGTGCTATAAATTTCCCTCTACACACTGCTTTGAATGTGTCCCAGAGATTCTGGTATGGTGTGTCTTTGTTCTCATTGGTTTCAAACAACATCTTTATTTCTGCCTTCATTTTGTTATGTACCCATTAGTCATTCAGGAGCAGGTTGTTCAGTTTCCATGTAGTTGAGCAGTTTTGAGTCAGTTTCTTAATCCTGAGTTCTAGTTTGATTGCACTGTGGTCTGAGAGACAGTTTGTTATAATTTCTGTTTTTTTACATTTGCTGAGGAGAGCTTTACTTCCAACTATGTGGTCAATTTTGGAATAGGTGTGGTGTGGTGCTGAAAAAAATGTATATTCTCTTGATTTCTGGTGGTGAGTTCTGTAGATGTCTATTAGGTCTGCTTGGTGCAGAGCTGAGTTTAATTCCTGGGTATCCTTGTTAACTTTCTGTCTTGTTGATCTGTCTAATGTTGACAGTGGGGTGTTAACGTCTCCCATTGTTATTGTGTGGGAGTCTAAGTCTCTTTGTACGTCACTCAGGACTTGCTTTATGAATCTGGGTGCTCCTGTATTGGGTGCATATATATTTAGGATAGTTAGCTCTTCTTGTTGAATTGATCCCTTTACCATTATGTAATGGCCTTCTTTGTCTCTTTTGATCTTTGTTGGTTTAAAGTCTGTTTTATCAGAAATTAGGATTGCAACCCCTGCCTTTTTTTGTTTTCCATTTGCTTGGTAGATCTTCCTCCATCCTTTTATTTTGAGCCTATGTGTGTCTCTGCACGTGAGATGGGTTTCCTGAATACAGCACACTGATGGGTCTTGACTCTTTATCCAATTTGCCAGTCTGTGTCTTTTAATTGGAGCATTTAGTCCATTTACATTTAAAGTTAATATTTTTATGTGTGAATTTGATCCTGTCATGATGATGTTAGCTGGTTATTTTGCTCGTTAGTTGATGCAGTTTCTTCCTAGCCTTGATGGTCTTTACAATTCGGCATGATTTTGCAGTGGCTGGTACCAGTTGTTCCTTTCCATGTTTAGTGCTTCCTTCAGGAGCTCTTTTAGGGCAGGCCTGGTGGTGACAAAATCTCTCAGCATTTGCTTGTCTGTAAAGTATTTTATTTCTCCTTCACTTATGAAGCTTAGTTTGACTGGATATGAAATTCTGGGTTGAAAATTCTTTTCTTTAAGAATGTTGAATATTGGCCCCCACTCTCTTCTGGCATATAGGGTTTCTGCTGAGAGATCCGCTGTTAGTCTGATGGGCTTCCCTTTGTGGGTAACCTGACCTTTTTCTCTGGCTGCCCTTAACATTTTTTCCTTCGTTTCATCTTTGGTGAATCTGACAATTTTGTGTCTTGGAATTGCTCTTCTTGAGGAGTATCTTTGTGGCATTCTCTGTATTTCCTGAATCTGAATGTTGGCCTGCCTTGATAGATTGGGGAAGTTCTCCTGGATAATATCCTGCAGAGTGTTTTCCAACTTGGTTCCATTCTCCCCGTCACTTTCAGGTACACCAATCAGACATAGATTTGGTCTTTTCACATAGTCCCATATTTCTTGGAGGCTTTGTTCCTTTCTTTTTATTCTTTTTTCTCTAAACTTCCCTTCTCACTTTATTTCATTCATCTTCCATCACTGATACCCTTTATTCCAGTTGATCGCATCATCTCCTGAGGCTTCTGCATTCTTCACGTAGTTCTCGAGCCTTGGCTTTCAGCTCCATCAGCTCCTTTAAGCACTTCTCTGTATTGATTATTCTAGTTATACATTCGTCTAAATTTTTTTCAAAGTTTTTAACTTCTTTGCCTTTGGTTTGAATTTCCTCCTGTAGCTTGGAGTAGTTTGATCATCTGAAGCCTTCTTCTCTCAACTCATCAAAGTCATTCTCCATCCCACTTTGTTCTGTTGCTGGTGAGGAACTGCATTCCTTTGGAGGAGAAGAGGCGCTCTGCTTTTTAGAGTTTCGTTTTTCTGCTCTGTTTTTTCCCCATGTTTGTAGTTTTATCTACTTTTGGTCTTTGATGATGGTGATGTACAGATGGGGTTTTGGTGTGGCTGTCCTTTCTGTTTGTTAGTTTTCCTTCTAACAGAAAGGACCCTCAGCTGCAGGTCTGTTGGAGTTTGCTAGAGGTCCACTCCAGAACTTGTTTGCCTGTGTATCAGAAGCAGCGGCTGCAGAACAATGGATTTTTGTGAACCGCAAATGCTGCTGTCTGATCGGTCCTCTGGAAGTTTTGTCTCAGAGGGGTACCCGGCCGTGTGAGGTTTCAGTCTGCCCCTACTGGGGGGTGCCTCCCATTTAGGCTGCTTGGGGGTCAGGGGTCAGGGACCCACCTGGAGGAGGCAGTGTGCCCATTCTCAGATCTCCAGCTGCATGCTGGGAGAACCACTGCTCTCTTCAAAGCTGTCAGACAGGGACATTTAAGTCTGCAGAGGTTACTGCTGTCTTTTTGTTTGTTTGTGCCCTGCCCCCAGAGGTGAAGCCTACAGAGGCAGGCAGGCCTCCTTGAGCTGTGGTGGGTTCCACCCAGTTTGAGCTTCCTGGCTGCCTAAAGAAGCCTGGGCAATCGTGGGCACCCCTCCCCCAGCCTCGCTGCTGCCTTGCAGTTTGATCTCAGACTGCTGTGCTAGCAGAGAGACTCCGTGGGCATAGGACCCTCCGAGCCAGGTGCAGGATATAATCTCCTAGTGCACCATTTTTTAAGCCCGTCAGAAAAGTGCAGTATTAGGTGGGAGTGACCCAATTTTCCAGGTGCCGTCTGTCACCCCTTTCTTTGGCTAGGAAAGGGAACTCCCTGACCCCTTGCACTTCCTGAGTGAGTCAATGCCTCGCCCTGCTTTGGCTCATGCATGGTGTGCTGCACCCACTGTCCTGTGCCCACTCTCTGGCACTCCCTAGTGAGATGAACCCGGTACCTCAGATGGAAATGCAGAAATCACTTGTCTTCTGCGTTGCTTACGCTGGGAGCTATAGACCAGAGCTGTTCCTATTTGGCCATCTTGGCTGCCCCCCGCCTGATCCTCTGTTTTCTAAGCTGAAAAATGGGAAAGAAAATTGCTAGCTACTGTCAAAGAAAACCAGAGCTGTGTTGGGGCTCAGAATACGATAGCCCAAAGAACATTACTTTGGTATGCTGATTACTTTGACCTAAGGAGATTGGAAGGCCTCAAAAGCAAAGTCTGTCTGATCTTCTCCTGTTCTTCTGTCTCCCAACCATCTTTCTCCCCCTGAAGCAATTCACCAAAACCAAAATTACTCTTCTGCAAGGCAGTTCATAGAAATTAGAACCCCTCTCCCCCGAAGTCAGCCATAAAGCCAAAAAGTCGCTTCTCTCTTCTCCTTTCAAGACCCTCATTCCAGAGTAATCCTGCCCTATACCCAGAAAGAAGGAATGTTACAGAAAGAAGTCAAGAAGAATCTGAACAGGCAGGCCTTGCTGGGTTTTCCCCCTCATTCTCTCACCTTTAAATTATATCCTTTTGTCCAATCACATTTCCACCTGGCTGTCCATTCTTCACTAAACATAAGCATAAAAAAGGGCAGTTTTCTCTGGGTCCTTGGGTCTTCATTTCTGAAGGCTCTTGTATCAAGTAACACTTTGATTAAATAAAAGTGTTATGCTTTCCTCTTATTAACCTATCTTTTGTTATAGGAATGTCAGCTGTGACTCTTATTATAGGTGAGAAAACATATCACACCTTTTTACCTGTACAGCTGGATAGTAAAGTGGTAAAAATAGATTTTATTCGGGACTAATAGAGGGAAGGAGTCCTTTGTATAGAACTGGGCTCAATTCCAAATACAACATAGGCAACTGGGAATATATAGCAAAGGGTGGGGGATCAGTGGATGACAAATTACTGAGAGGAAATATGAGAGATAAAAGGGAATTTTAGCTAAACTGACCTAGTGGGATTCTTGCTAAAGACAAGCCAGGTTGATCAAACATCACTAGGGATTGAGTTTGGTAGAGGATGAGAAACCCAATTAGATCTCCTGGATAATCTGATATGAAGGACGGGGGTTCTGGCTAAACCAGACCTCCCTTCCTAGTAGTATGTGTGCGCCTGCATTTCTGATCAATTAATGGGTTTATCTCACTCATAATTTCATCATCTTTCCAATTCATTCCTTTGTATAATTTTTTAATTATATTTTTACTCTGAAGTATTACACAACTACACAAACATATTTAAAACATAAATGGACAGACTAATGTATTATTATAAAATAAGATGTGTGTAACCATCTTGACCCATCTAGGTCAAGAAATAGAAATAAACACCACTCCAGAATCATCCTCCTTTTCACATTTCTTTATCGCTAATTTAATCCCTTTTCTCTCACAGAAGAAACCACATTCTGAGTTTTATAGCATTCACTCCCTTGACTTGTTTTACAATTTCACCACCTAAGCATGCATTCCTGAACACTACTGGTTTCGTTTTTTTAAATATAGCAGTATAATAAAGATACAATGTACATATCATGCAATTTGCCAACCTAAAATATATAATTCAATAGTTTTAATAAATTCAAAGAGTTGTACAGCCATCATCATGATTGTAAAACATTTTCTTCACTTTCTTCACTGCCAAAAAAGCACTCACTTCCCATTTTTTTAATCCAACACCCCAACCCTTGAGAAAATAATCTACTTTCTGTGTCTGTAGATTTACCTTATATTTTTTAAAAGTGGAATCATACAATATAAACTCTTTCATGACTAGCTTTTCACTTAGCAAAATGTCTTCAAAGTTCTCTCATGTTTAAGCATATATCAGTACCTCATTCTGTTTTATTGCCAAACATTATTTCACTGTGTAAATACAGGTATACCTTGTTTTATTGCATTTCACTTTATTGCACTTTGCAGATATTACAGTTTTTACAAATTGCCCCACAGCATGAAGCCTCTGATCCTACTCTGCAGAGTGTAGCCTTGGTCACGTGCATAGTCACCCTGGGATGCCAGTGGCTTTAGCAAGGCTCTCTCAAGTTTCTCTTTCCATGATCTTTCTGTTAAGCCTTCTGTCACTGTTATCACTCCAAGCTATTAGGCTCCACTAATTGCCAGCTAATTGCTCTATTGTTTTAGAAAATATTCTAGAACATAAATTAATCTGCAGTCTACTCTAATTAAATTTTGGCTTCTTTACACAGGTAGCTTTGCACAGGTAGTCTTTGAGGTTTCTTCTGACACCAAGAGGGCTCTTATATCTCTCTTTCCCTGGTTCTCTCAGGTAAACTAGCTGGCCTACAGTTTATCTTGTTGCTTTCATGGACCTACCAGCCTCCTCTCAATTGCTTACCAAAATCTCCATTGCTTCTGAGAGCACACTTAGACTTAAACTTTCAAAATAAAATCAATTCCCTTGGGAAAAACTTCAAAACTGTTTATTCTTATAGCCTGTCTCTCCTCCTATACATACTCTCTTAACCACTGCTCCACAGCTGGAACAGTTATCTGCTTCTCTCAGATTGGCACTCATGCATTACCAAAAGGATGGGCATTGAGTGTGATCAGTAGCCTTCAGTCTTCTAAGCTTGCCTCTCTTGACCTTCACTGTACAATCAAGCTAGGGCACAGGCAACCAGTATTCTGACCCTATCATATCAGGTGTATGGCTTCCTTCCTATAAGTGGAGGCTAGGTGGATGAAGAGAGCATCTGACCTCTCAACAATGCCCATGTGGAATTTGTCTTCTGTCACATGGAGTTGTAGCACTGATGAGCAATGCTGGCAGGAAGCTGGAGGAAAAGAGAGCCCATATCCTTTGTAACCCCTACCTGAAGTGGAGCTTCTGTTGTGATGAGCTGAAGGAAGGAGGAAGGAGCAAGCAATGGTTGCTGTGTCATAAACTTACAGTCTTTACTCAGATTTCATATATTTTCTTGAATAAATATGTATTTATTTGCTGCATGCTCTTAGGACAATTTTCAGAGACTTTAAGTCGTTTTCTTTTTTTATATAACTGGTTTTGTCATACAAAAAGAAAGCCACTTTTCACCAGGGACCAGATCTGTAAAACTCCTCATGACCCCATTTCAGAAGTTGGATCCTTAGATTGTACCTATAGTTTTATTTTGACTCTTTTTTGAACTTAATATAAATGGAATCTTAACGCATGCATTATTTGGGGGTTGGCTTCTTTCATTCACATTAGATTTTTAAGATTTATTCAGGTTGTTACTGACAGATCTCAATTATTTATTTTTCCCTGCTGTATAGTATGCCATTCTATAAATTTTAATTTATTTAGCCAAGCTTTGGTTAATTTACATCTGCTGTGTTTTTATACTTCCATCCTGAAGCATATAAGCATGCATTTCTGTGTTATATGCCCTGAAGTATTATAGTGTTTTTCTATTATATTATTTAAGAATATTCAGTTCTACTTTAGGAAAAAAAGAAAAACAAATAAGAAGCTTAAAAGTTTGTGACACATATTAGACCTACACAAAGTAAAGAGAAATGTGTGCTAAACATATGTAGAAAAAGTTGGAAGACCAAGCTAAATATTCATAAGGTACCTGAGATCCCAAATACTCATGAAGCATATAGAGCACACAATATTTATGCTACACTAAATATTCAGGATGCACATGAGGAGCCCAATATTCATGAGGTCTTAACCCACTTCCCATTGGTGGCACCCATTAAGGTCCCACACGTGCTCCATCTTTTCTGTGCCCCAAGAAACAGATAAACTCCATGTTAGCTCATCAGGCTAATTGGGTGAGCTCCAACTGTGTAGAAGTATGTTTGCCTCAACAATTTTCCCAATGAGCAAATGTGTGTTCAATTCAGGTGCCTTCCCTCTGCTGGGCCTCCTTCTTCAAACTCAGCTCTGGTTCTTGTAATTGAACCATTAACAAGACTGGTGTGGGAAGTGGAGAGAGAGAGAGAGAGAAAAAGAGAGACAGAGACAGAGAAAGAGAGACAAAGTGAGAGTGAGGGAGACTGAGGAAGACATAAACATTGTATAATACAGGACTTAGGAAGTTCAGTACTTCCATCCCATTTGTGCCCCGTATTTCCCCTTATTACTGAGGTTAGTTTTAAACTGGGTCAATAAACCATATGGATTTAAGCATTTCAGTTTAGCCTGTGAATTATCGTGTTTCATGAGTTTTGGGATAGAATGCCTGATAGTGTACTTGGAGCCTACTATTGCAACGAGAGAGTTTCCTACATGACAAATAAGATTGTTGGGTCACAGGATATGTGTATCTTCAACTTTAATAGATGATGTCAAAATTATTTTCCAGTATTTGTTCTTGCTCACACTTTAACCTACAGGATATAAATGTTACTGTTGATCCCATTCTTGTCAACACCTGCCATCACAGAATTGTTCATTTCAGCTATGTTGGCAAAAGCAAGTGACATCTCATTATGCTTTTAAGTTGAATTTTTCAGATAACTCATGAAGTTAAGCACTTCTTTATATGTTAATATTGGCCATCTGAATTTCCTCTTCTGTGAAATGCCTATTCAAAGCCTTTGCCATTTTCTGTTGGAGTTTCTATTGCTTTGCTCTAAATATTTAAGAGTTATTTTTATATCCTGACAAATCCTTTATCAGTTAATACATTTACAATGTCCTTTTCCATTCCATTTTTCCTCTCTTAATGAAGTCATTCATGTATAGATGTTCCTAATTTCAACGTATCACATTTCAATCTTTTTTCTTTAGGATACTGCTTCTTGTGTACTCTTTAAAGAACAATTTAGTAATGACAAGAATATGAAGATTTTTTCTCTGTATCTTATAAGTTTAATTGTTTTGCCTTTTACATTTAGATCAGCAGTCTATCTGAAATTGGCATTTATGTATGGTGAGAAATTGAGATCAAGTTCGTTTCTTTGTTTTTCAATCAAATGTTTAAAATTGTTCCAGAAACATTTATTGAAGAGATCTTTTCCCTACCATTCTGCACCATAAACAAATCAAGTAGTCATTTATGGATGTAATTAACTTCTGTTACATTAGATTATCTATCTATTGCTCTATTAACATAACAGTGTCTTAGTTGCTGTAGCTTCTTAAAATGTCTTATATTTAATACACCAAATCTTTCTATCTTGTTTTATTCTTAAAAAAAACCTTGGATTATCTTAGCCATTTTCATTTTCATATACATATGTATACATGTCTAAAAACTATTTGGATTTTGATTAGGAGTTCATTGAAATTTTAAAGCATTTTGTAGATAATTCATATTTTTAACAGTCTTTCAATCCACTTTTATTGCGCATCCTTCCATTTAGCTTTTCATTAATTTTGTCATAACATTCCACAATTATTTAAGTAGAGATTTCATAACATCCCTTGTTAGATTTGACCCTAGATACTTGTTTTCATGAAAACTAGCCCAAATGGCATCTTTTTAAAAGTTGTATTTTCACGATGTTAATGCTGGTAAATAGAATAATAGAGTTTTTATATTGATTTTTAATCCAGCAATGTTGTTAAATTTTGAATTCTTTTTATTATTTCTAATAATTTATAGGTAAATTATTTGGATGGTCTACATATATGATCAAATAATTCATGAAAAATGACAGCTTCATTTGTTTATTTCTAATCCTTTTGTCTTTTACTGTTCTTTATTGCCTTAGTGCACAGGCTGGGATATCTGGTGAAATGTTAGGCAGAAGTAGTGATATTGGAATCCTTCCATTGCTCCCAATTAAAAAAAAAATTCAACATCTCACCATTAAGAATGACATATGTTGTGGTTTTTGTAGACACCTTTCATCAGATTAAGAATATCACTGTTTCTAATTTGCTATGAGTTTTCATTATGGGGTCAGATGCTAAATTTGTCAAGTATTTTCTTCTGAGCTATTAATGTGATCATATACTTTTTTCTCTAATATATTGTTAGTGTGATGAATTACACTGAATAATTTTTAAGGATAAATAATCTGGCATTACTGAAATAAAACCAACTTGATCATTATTGTATTTTTTCTACATATTGCTGGATTCAATTTGCTAAATATATGTAATTTAGAATTTTTTGTATCTATATGTTTTTACTAAAATGGATCTGTAATTTTTATTCTTCATATTCTTGCTAACCTAATATGATGTGTTGGTTACTACACCCTTTTTTGTATTCATTAAAATTGTTTATATAAGAGTAAAGTTATTTTTACCCTAAAATATTTGAAAAAAATTCTCCAGTAAAGCCATTTAGGCTTGGTGTTCACTCTATATTTCTATACCCATGAAATAATGTAATTGTTTATATAGTCAGTATTCATATAGATTTACCCACAAGTCCACAAGCTTTTACCCCAAATCCCTGGGTTTCAGAATTTCAATTATTTTGGCATTTGAAAGGTAATATTGCTGCATAAACTTTGTATTACTTATCGCCTCCAGTAGGGTCTAGACAACACCTCATACACATGCACATTAATATCTCTGCAGAGAAAGATATGACTATTTATTTAAAGTGGAATAAATAGAGACTATAAATAGCCTCAAGTCAGTTCAGGTCAGGTTTTCCATCAAGTAATTTCAGATCAGGTCTTGCTGTTATTGAAGCTTTCTAGATTTGGAATTGTGGCTGAGAGATTGGGAACAGATCTTACACAGTGACTGGTTTCCAGAAGGATCTCAACAAATGCTGTTGCTGAACTGATTTGTCAACAAGGAGATTTTTACATAACATTTCTTTCTAGTCAAATGTTGGGATTTTAAGGTACTATGACGTTAATGCTACAAGTCCATCCATCTAGCTGACAGACAACTTTATAACCAAAATGTTTATGCTGATAAATTGCAACAATGAGACTGTAGAGCTTGGTTAACACCCCACAGGTTCAGAGTGGAAGAGGCACCTGAACTCAGAATCTCAGACTTTGTGTGGTGTTACTTTAAACACATTCTGACTCTTAGAGTGGGAAGAAAATATTACAGCTGGATGTAAACAAGAGATTCAAACCAGAAAATTAAGGGCAAATGGCAGTCAAGGAGCAACAACAACAAAAAGCTTCCTCATGGATGAATGATATGGGTGAACATCTTGAAAAGGCCATTTGAAGTGGGGAAAAATCAGTGTCTACTTTTCCTGAATGAAGATGCATACAATCTGTTTCAGCCCGAAGGCTGCACAACCTCATAGATTTTATAAAGAAATAAATTATTTTCAACATGGACCTAACATTTTTTTATACCAATTATACCATTATTCACATTGCTCTCCTGAGATGATTCAACATGCATGAATTTTAAAATACAGCTTTACAGAACTTCATCTCATAAATCTCTCTGAAAAAATCCATCAGGTGTTATAACGGGAAGAGCCTTACTCTCTTAATGGTTTCAAGTTTCCAGGCACTAAAGGGAAATGGACTGAGGAGTTAAATCTATCCTTGATAAACCTACCTATACTCACAACATCAAATAATACTAGAAGGTGAAAGTGATTACAGTCTTTTAAGACAATCTCAAAAAGAGACCTAAGGGAATTTTTGCTGCCTTACTCAGGAGTTCATTAATTATATGTTAATTACTTAAGCTACTTAGAGCTGTTAAAAGCAGATACATTTGATTTTTTTTAAAAAAAGTAGATTTGAGAAAAAAAAATCAAAGGATAAAATCACCCAGTACTTAGACTGACATATGGAAATGCTGCTTTCATACATTCCATTGTCCGTGGGAGAACTGATTGTTATGATCTTTTAGGAATTTAGTCTGCCAATATCAGTAAAATTAAAAATAAAATTTGACACAGCAATACCACTTTTTGGAAATCTATCCTACAGAAACAAAAGCACCCATGCATGAGGACTTGTGTACCTGGTTTTTATTCTTTGAATATTTATTAAGTACCTATTCTGTGCCAATCACAAATGGCAAACAGGGCCCTCGTCTTACAGTACTTATATTCTAAGGGAGAAAAACTGAAAAATAAACACGTAAAGAAAAATAGTAAGCAGAGATAAGTGCTGTAGAGTGACTCTAAACGGGGCATTGTGATAACTTGTAACTTCAGAGTAGGTAGGCAAGAAAGGGCACCTCTGAGCAATAGGTGGCATTTATCCTGAGAATGTACCAGTAAGAATCCAGCCTTGGAAAAATCGCAGTGAGGTTTATACTTGCAAAAGGCTGTTAACATCCTGAATTTTAGCAACAAGTTAAATAATGTTATATTCATGTTATGGAATATGACACATTTATTAAAATAATGTCCAATTGGCATATCCAAGTTAAACATGCCTAAAATTTGACTTCTGGTCTCTCTCCTGGAAACACCTACTCATTCTGCTGTCTTATTTAAGCTACAGCGACTCTATTCCTCCAGTTTGGGGGCTAAAAGCCTTGGTATCACCCTTGGCTCTCCATTTTGGTCCCTCAGTATATTGAGGACTCAATCTTGAAAATACAACCAGAATTCCACCACTTTATACCATACCCACTTCCACCTGCCTGTACCTGCACCGTTCACCTAGATTATTACAATGGCCTTCTAACTAGCCTCCCTTTATGCACTTGACATCCTTCAGTCTATTCTCAGCAAGGCAGCCAGATGTTAGTCCTTGGATCAAAATCATTCATTCTATTTTAGAACAAAATCCAAAGTTTTTACAAAGAACTTTAAGGTCCTACAGAGACTGACACTGACACTCCTCTAATGTTCCCTCTTTCTACAATCTCCCCCATCATCTTGCTCCAGCAGAGCTGGGCAACTTGCCATTCTTTGAGCACACGAGGACCACCCTGTCTCAGGAATGTAGTACTTAACTCTTTCCTTTCTCTAAATGTGACTGACCCTTCACACAAAAATCCTCAATGGCTACACTAACTAAAATGCAACCTCCTAATATTTCTAATCACCCTTTCCTATTGTGTCCAGAGTTGGCTCCTTCCAGTGGGTTCTTGGTCTCGCTGACTTCAAGAATGAAGCCACAGACCTTGTGGTGAGTGTTACAGCTCTTAAAGGTGGCATGGACCCAAACAGTGAGCAGCAGCAAGATTTATTGTGAAGCGTGAAAGAACGAAGCTTCGAGTGGGTTGCCACTGCTGGCTAGGGTGGCCAGCTTTTATTCCCTTATTTGTCCCTGCCCACATCCTGCTGAAAGGTTCATTTTACAGAGCACTGATTGGTCCATTTTACAGAGTGCTGATTGGTTTACAATCCTTTAGCTAGACACAGAGTGCTGATTGGTGCATTTTTACAGAGTGCTGATTGGTGCATTTACAATCCTTTAGCTAGACACAGAGTGCTGATTGGTGTGTTTTTAGAGAGGGCTGATTGGTGCATTTACAATCCTTTAGCTAGACAGAAAAGTTCTCCAAGTCCCCACTTGACCCAGGAAGTCCAGCTGGCTTCACCTCTCACTATCTTGCTTTCTCACTTAATGTGTCTAATAATATCATGCATTTTACTCAATGATATTGTCTATTGTCTCTCTCCTCATCATTAGAATATAGCTTCCATGAAGGCCAGAGTTTTGTTCACTCTGTATTCCCTATGCATAGAACAGTGCCTGATGAAAGATAATCACTCCATAAGCATTTGTCTAATCCATGAATAAATATATTATTTTAAAGATACTCATAAGAGTAAGTTGATATATGTGTGTATGTGTATGAATGTATAGATTGGTATGGGAGAATACAAATCAGACAGTTCATATTGGTTCAGTCAAGAGGGTAGAATTAGAGGCACTGAGGCAGTTATTACAGCTTTTCTTTAAGCACCACTGAGTTGATTGACTGCTTACTATAAGGGATTACATTTGTGACTTTTGGAAAATATTATAGCTCAATTTTATATAAAGTATATTAATGTTAGCATGAAATGTAGTTAAAACTCTCAAATCTCAAGATTATTTTTCACATTTTTATATTACTATATTTTAATTGGAAACACATAAATATTCAGGCTTGGTAGCTGTTTATGCAATAAAAGATCTAGAAATTTCAGTAGATTGCAAGCTTCCCAGAGCCAAAAGCTGTTATAGGCTTCCTCAGTGAAAGCGCAGCTTCTGCATCACAACAGATAATATAAATGAACTTTGAGCATATCAACCCGCACCCAGAGAGATTTTTTCATACTCCAATTAATTCTGGCATTAGACAATCATTTAAGGATTGGATAGTGGCTATCCAATCCTTCCTTTCAAATGAAGCAGTGTACAGAAACATAAACAAATAAACATAAAGAGCTAAAGGATGTGGGGTTGTGAACAATAGCCTCCCTGGCCTTCTCCCAGGTAGCTTCTGAGAGAGTTGAATGGAAGGTTTAGGGGGTCCATAGAACTAGAATATTTATAAACCATACGTGGGCAGGGTGAAGAACAGAGCAGTCTGTTAACTTTTGAATAAAGCTGAAGGAATGTTTGAAAGAAATGAGACAAGATAACTGTCTTCAATTATTTTAAAGAAGCAAGTTGACTTTTCTGTGAAGCTCCAGAGAGCATCGGTAAGATTAGTGAAGGGCTGGTTTAAGAAGGCAATTTATTTGATATTAGGAAAACTTAACTCTCTGGAAACTATAGTTGGCCAATAGTGAAATGAACTGCAAACTGTAGTAACAGACCTCCCGTCGCTGGAGGAATTCACAAGGAGACAAAGCCTACATCATAACCAATGACAGAAGTGTAACATATGGCATTATTTACCTGGCGAGAGATTACATTATTAAGATCCTTTCTAATTCTTGGGTTCTAGGAGTTAATGTATCAGGACTCTTTTGGATGCAAATGACAGAACCTCTGCTTTTGCTTAAGCTTGCACAATTGACAACACAAAATTAGATCCTACCTCCAGATGTGGTTCAATTCAAGAGCTTAAGGTTTTACCTCTTCTCTCCCTTTCTTGGACTTTTTTTTTTTTTTTTTTTTTTTTTTGAGACAAAGTCTCACTCTGTTGCCCAGGCTGGAGTGCAGTGGCACAACTTCGGCTCACTGCAACCTTCGCCTCCCAGGTTCAGGCGATTCTCCTGCCCCAGCCTCCTGAGTAGCTAAGATTACAGGCATGCACCATCACGCTCAGCTAATTTTGGAGTGGGGTTTCACCTTGTTTTCCAGGCTCGTCTTAAACTCCTGACCTCAGGTGATCCACCTGCCTCAGCCTCCCAAAGTGCTGAGATTACAGGCGTGAGCCACCGCACCCGGCCCTTTTTTGCCTTAAGTCTCAGGCAGACTCATTTCACGTGCCAGTGAAGGCTCTCAGAAATCCCATTATCTTCCTACCTAGAAATATAATCTACCAAGTGGTTCTGCAACCACAGTTTTCACCAACCACAGTTTTAAAATATTCAGGAAAAAAACATAAAAAATAATAATATGACAATTAAAATACCAATAAAATATAGTATAACAATTATTTGCATAACATTTATATTATGTTTGGGAGTATAAGTAGTCTAGAGATGATTTAAAGTATGTAGGAGGGTAGGTGTAGATTATATGCAAATACCACACCACTTTTTATAAGGGACTCGAGCATCTGTGGATTTTTGGTATCTTTGGGAGTTCTGTAATCAGTCCTTCTGCAAATGAAGGAGAACTGTACTCAAGATAATTCTCTTTCTCAATGGCTTAAGCAAAAGTCCAGTGCAAAACTCTTTGTCTTACTTTTGGTCATGCACCTATCCACCTATCTCTGAACAGTCTCACCATACAAGCAAGTAGGACCTGCTGATTAGCCATCTTGGTCCATGAATCCATCTCTACCACAAATGAGATGGGATTATATGAATGACAATCCACCAGATGAGGATGGAACATCCCCCAAAGGAAAAACATGCTGAGTAGAGAAAAAGGAATATGTGTCCATTATATTCTGAGAAAAACACAAAAAAAGATTTGATTTTTACATACAGCTGATTATTCAGGTGAATTTAGAAGGAGCTACAAAGGTTATAGTCATTTTTTATAGATTACAACCAAGAAAGTACTGAGTTTCTTCACAGGTTTTGGCTTAGAGAGGCTTTCCAGAATTAAAGAAGAAAATCAGGCTGTTTTCACCATTGCACTGAAATGGGATGGTACTAGGATAAGGAGATGTGTGCTGTCACTGAATATGTTTCTATAACAGATGGGAATAGCTTTTTCTTGAAATAGCTACTGATGTAGGGAAGTTAAGATTAGCTAGGGCAATGGTTTCCCATTTGTAGGAATTTGTATTACGGTAATCAAGCAACCAGAAGGAACTGTTAGTCATCCTTTCCCTGTTTAGAGGCAGAGCTTTGCAAACGAAAGAGAACAATGTACATGTAGGCTAGATGCGTGTGTGTATGTGTGTGTGTGTGTTTCTCTCCTATGTATATGCAGACATTTATAGACTATGCATAAAGTGAGTCCACGTATTTCTGACAAAAAAAGCAACATAATGTGTAAGAGCAAAGTTTGGGAACCATTCTGTCTGAGTTGAAATCCTGCCTCCATCACTTACTAGCTTTGTAACCTTGTGCAAAATATTTAACTTTTCTATACCTTGTTTTTTCTCATCTGTTATTAATAAACCCATAAAATTGCTTATTGAATTAAATTAGTAGATAATGAAAAACATTTAGAAGAGTGCCTGGAACATCATGAATGCACAATAAAAATTGCAATCATTATTATTACTGTTCACCAACTTCCTGTGTCATTCTGTTCAAATCACTTACCCTCTCTGAGCCTCAGTTTCCACTCCTCAGCAGCCATGTTGTATTCCCAGGAGCTACTTTTCCATAGAGTTTTAACATATGCTGTGTTACACTTTGTTCAAGGCATTTTTAAACTTACGATTCTCCTCATGTTCATGTCAAACAACAGACAAAACATCATGCTGTACTTGTTAAAAACAACAAAAAATAAATTTAAAAAAATAGGTTAACATACAAGGACATTGAACTAACAATAAATCATTTAAGTTAAAATTTTCATATATACAATGGTTGGAAACAAAAGTCACTCCATAAACAAGTATTTTCTTAAAAAGAGAAAAAATCAGAAATTGGGCAGTTAATTTTTTGAAATGAATTATGTCCTTATCAACTAGTGCTTGAGACATGAATGGTAAACACATTCAAAAAGTGAGATAGGAAGAAAATGAAAACCAATTGTGTAATATTACTTAGTGAGGTAAATTCATCATCATTCATTCACTGATGGTCATTTGAATGTCTGGAAATAGTAAGATATGAACTTATTCTGGGCCCAGCTACTTTGGAGAGAAATAATTAAAAAATAAAAGATGAGGCTTTCCAGAAGTAAAATTTCTGTGTACATCACCAAGTTTGCGTCTTTCTTCCCACAAAGATGATTTGCTGGATATGAATGGAAACTTTCCCTTTTGGAATCCCCCATCTGTCACTGTATAAATTGGGTTCAGAGAAAGTAATTTGGATGCTGCGAAAAGATTTCAGTAACACAGGTAGGCTAAGCAGTAGAACAAGGCAATGCTCAGAAACCAAGGCCCAGTTTCAGGAAATGAGCCTTTTAAGGGAAGAATGGGCAGAGAAACATAGCAAATGTATTAACTCAGAACCAAATTATCCCCAAATAAAACATATACACATATGTCATGGATTTTCAAGAGATGTCAGTTACTCTTCAATGGGCTGGTAATGCTTTTTTAACTCTTACAATGAAATTTAATATAGCCTAACAGATATAGTCGAGAAAGGAGGGCTAGGTAGGAAACAGAAAAACAGATAATGATGGATATGCATGATGCAGAAATAGCCTAGCTCATTTGACGGCCTTAGCAGATGATAAAAACGTATTCCAGTGAGATTTCTTGCCTCCATTTGAACTTAGAGGTATTGGGATGATAAATCTGGTAGGAATTTTAGAGGATATGTAGTTTAATCCTTCATCTCTTGCCTGAATCCCTTTTATGATATTCCCCCAAAGCAGTCCTAGAATACATTCAGTGGTATTTTCCAGAACAGCCCATTGCAATATTATGCAGTATAGACTGAGAAAGTTCTTTTTTTTTTTTTTTTTTTTTTAGACAGAGTCTCACTCTGTCACCAGGCTGGAGTGCAGTGGCACAATATCAGCTCACTGCAACCTCCACCTCCCAGATTCAAGTGATTCTCCTGCCTCAGCCTCCCGAGTAGCTGGGACTACACATTCCTGCCACCTTGCTGGTTAATTTTTTGTGTTTTTAGTAGAGACAAGGTTTCACCATGTTGGCCAGGATGGTCTCACTCTTTTGACCTCGTGATCCATCCACCTTGGCCTCCCAAAGTGTTGGGATTACAGGCGTGAGCCACCACACCTGGCCTAGACTAAGAAAGTTCTTTTTTAAGCATAGTATAAATTGATCTCCTAGTAACTTCTACCTATCAATCCTAGATTGATCTCTTTAGATCTTTTCTGTAATTACTAAAATACACTTATTATTCAACAACTCTTCCACATATAAGATACTTCTAAAACCTGTATAGAGGATACAACGATGAAAAAATAATCCCTCCCCTGAAGCTGCTTACAGAGACAAAAGACAGGAACAAAATTAGTTTCAGCATGGATCAGATTTATGGTACAAGCTACAAGGGAGATGTAGGCAAGATTTCACTGTGTCCATAGGGAGAGGAATCACTTCTTAGGGTATACGGAGAACATTTCTTGGAAGCAAGGAAATGGGCAGTGGTATCATAGGAAGATTCAACAGCATAGGCAGGGAAAAAGTAAGATTGAGAGGCTATGGATTTTGATGTCTCCTGGATTTCTAGCTCGTACATTAAGGTGAAGAACCCTGAATATATTCTGTCACTGTATATATCCAGTTTTTGACATATGGGCATGTCATGAACTTTCACACTGTGTTTCAGTAATGAATGGACTTTAACTTGGCCACTTCTCTGCAAGCGTAGAGTGTGTGTGTGTGTCTGTGTCTGTGTGTGTGTGTCTGTGTGTGTGTGTGTGTGCATGTATGTGTCTATGGTGTGAGGTCTTGCTAAATTGGCAAAGGTGAGGTTTCTCATCTTCTCAGTAATCCCTGGATGAACCATAACTTCACCTGGATGAGAACGAAATGAAAAAGCCTCAGATAGGTAGAGCTTTGGCAAGTGATATTTTACTCTTGACTAATAGGGGACTACTTGCCCTATGACCAATTCCAGGTGGCAGAAATTCAGTGGTGCCAACTTCAGGGAAACTAGGCAAGCCTCCAGGAGGGGCCACCTGTGCTGCTTCCCTTTCTACAAGGAACTAGCCAGTCCCTTTAGAGGACTAGAAGCTTGTATTTTAAACATGTTAACTACTACACCTTTTGTATTTTCTGTAATTATTGCTTTTTTGTTCTCTGAGTATTAAAGTTCTTTTGAAAATGTCAGCCTGTTTCAGCTGAGCAAAGGAAAACAAGAAAAGTTGTTTCAATTCATGCATTTGAAGTTTTTAAGGAGGAATGAGGCTCCCTCCTTGTTTTATGGGGCCCAGTGTAGTGGAGATTATAATAATCTAATGGAGAAGGTGCCAGAAAGGGAGATATTTAGGAGAAAGAAGTCGGATTCCTTAACCAACCACCCTCTTCACATAAACAGTTTACTGGACTCTATTTTTTACCATTATGAAAGGTTCTATATATTTTTAAATATTTTCATCTTTTTTCTTTATTTTTTTTTCTTTTATACTTAGTCCTGCAGGGGAAAAATAGTGTTTTTGTTAACCAAAAAGGCCAGTACATTGTAAATAAATAAATAAATAAATAAATAAACTGACGTTGTAAATAAATAAATAAATTGACAACTAGGCATAAGGCAGAAAATCAAAATGAACCAAAATTCTATCACTTGAACATTGATAACTTCTGGGTCTAGTGTTAGCTGATGTTTCCTTCTACATTTTAAAAAATGTTATAATTATATAGACATTTTTCATGTATATACTAAATGAATATACATTTTGAAAGTATATGCTAAATACATATACATTTTTAATGTGTATAGTAAATGCGTATACTGTTTAATGTATATATTAAATGCATATACATTGTTTAGTATATACTAGATCCATATATATTGTTTAATGTATACACATTAAATATTATGCATTTAATACCATCTCAATTATTAGGCATTTAACTTGGTTCCATTCTTTTACATTTAATATGACATCTCAATAACTAGATTTTATTTTTATTAGAGAGAAGGAGGGGTGGAAAGAGGGCACTCAAGTAAAATCTTTTTCTGTTCATCTAAACTTTTTATTGCAGCTTCTGGACTTTCTCCAAGCATACAGGGGCGAGCAAGCTTTTCCTATAAAGGCCTAACGGTCCTCAAGCCCTGACCACATCCACCATTGCTTTGTCTCTGACATGGCTGGTCCTCACAGTCTCCTAAGGGTGACGATCACAGGGGCTCATGAACCAGGCTCTATCCCTCCACCCTGGACAAATGACCGCTCTGTTTCCCCAGTAGCTGCCAGGAGGGCTGGTGAAACAACCCAGAAATATGGGGAGTTAACTTCCAAAGGGGCAACCTTCTACCAGTGGGAGACTCGAGACAGACAGGGGGCCAGCAGATACACTGCTCACTCTTCCTCTATCATCCAGACTGTTCTGAGGCACTCAGCTGTGTTTTTCTCCCACTCTCAGTAATGGGTTAGCATGTTAAGTATGTGTCAGCACATACGCTGTTCTTCAGGCCCTATTGTCTAGTAAACCCAGGCTAAGACACACATAGTATGTCATTTAATCACATGGCAATCTGAACAACAATCCTGTGAGATAGATATTTCATGTTTATAAAAATGAAGTGGATCCTTGCTCCTTGGAGGTGAAGTGGCTTGCACAGGCAAGCCAAAACTAGACCCAGCCACTTGACACTTAATGAATCTCCACGACACTAAGCTGTTTTTAACATTGCAGTCTTCCAGTTAGGCTTTATAAGCCTTCAGAATGAAAAAGAAAGTTTGCTTATTCTTTGCTCCCAGGCTCATTCCATGCTGACAAAGGGCTCAGAACCCAGGTCTGCTCACTCAGACATCATGGAGAAGAAAGGACTTGGTATGAAAGCCTATGAGGTCCCATCTGATGTCAGCCTAACTTCTGGACCAAAAATCCAACCTATCTTCAGCTGTCTTCAGAGATATTGCTCCTTTGTCATTTAGAGGCTTACAGCCAAGCCTTTCCATCTGGGACTGGTAGAGACGGGAAGCATGTTTCAAAGGTCGGCTTCCTGTTTTAGGATTGGGGTGCAGTAAAAGAGTATTAGTTTCTAGTCTGAACTCTAATACTTACTAGCTGGGTAACCTCTCAAGCCTCAGTTTTCTTTCCTATAAAATGGGCATAATCTTTGTGGTAGGTGGTACCCTGCATATGTGTTCTTGAGTCTTGCCAAATAGTTCCTGGATACTCTTATGGCTTCCTGTATCTCTCTCCCTGAGAATGTTCTCTGCACACGGCAGCATGCAAGGTTTACTAAAAGTGCCAGAGAATTCATGACTCACAAGCAACTGCAACCAATGGGGGACAGGAATTGGTGGATGAGTCTCACTCTTACTGCCTAGGCTGGAGTGCAATGGTGCCAGCTCGGCTCACTGCAACCTCTGCCTCCTGGGTTCAAGTGATTCTCCTGCCTCAGCCTCCCAAGTAGCTGGGATTACAGGCACGCACCACCATGCCTGGCTAATTTTGTATTTTTAGTAGAGATGAGGGTTTCACGATGTTGATCAGGCTGGTCTCAAACTCCTGACCTCAAGTGATCCACCTGCCTCAGCCTCCCAAAGTGCTGGGATTACAGGCATGAGCCACTGTGCCCAGTCTATCTCAGGTATTTTCAATTCTGAGATGTGTTCTACAAAGTCTCTCAGAGGGTCTCAGAGGGTCCTCCCCAGAGGACTGAGCCCCATTTGCCCACACTAATGATGTACTCATTTAAAAGCCACTTCTTAGCTTACCTCCCTTTCTTGTCTCACTCTCCCATCCCCTCACTGGGATTTCTGGGATGAACTTCCATATAGATCCACTTGCACACAATATTTGCCTCTGGCCCTGCTTGGCAATAACCCCATCTTGCCTATCCCAGAAAATGGTTTTTAAAATAATAAAGAGGGAAGTCATAAGCTACATTGCTAAACTCCAGAAGTGCCAGGGCTATTTTCCTCACTACTAAATACCCAGCACTCAGTACAATACCTGGCACATAGCAAGTTTTCAGTGACAATTTGGTAAATGAATAAATAAATGAACAGATGAATTTGACCTTAGCTACTGATGCTCATAAAGAATTTATACTGAGATATTTGACAAAGTTAACATGCTCTAATGATATCAAAAGTTAATTCCCTCTCTTCTGTTCATTTCCTCTTTTCTGGGTAATTTTGGAGTGGCTGAAAAGGACCCAGGGTCTCTAGGACCCTTTCTTGCTTCATGTCCTGCATCCCTTCTCCCTGAGAACCCCAAACTCTAAGACGTTTTTAAATACATATCACTGTCTGTTACTTTTCTGCTTTGAATTCCTTTGCTGTCTGTACTCACCTTTTGAAGTAACAACATCAATTAGCAGCTACAGCAAAAAGCAGTCACATTGCTGCCAATCAATGCCTTATGGGGTTTCCATGGTTTAAAAAAATTGCTAATGGACTCCAGAGCTTTTCCCCCCTCCTTCCCCAAGATGTGTAGCCAAGTGGGTGGCTTCTAACATGCCAGAGGAAAAACAGAAATAGAAAAAATAAGAGAAGAAAATTTCTATCAAGTATTTAAAAGAAATGCAAAGTTCAGCGGATTATTTCATGTGACTTGGTTTTCCAGTGACATCTAAAAGTGGTCACAATTATACCTGGATTAAGAGTTCCGGGGGGAAGGAGCCAAGATGGCCGAATAGGAACAGCTCCGGTCTACAGCTCCCAGCGTGAGCGACGCAGAAGACGGGTGATTTCTGCATTTGCATCTGAGGTACCAGGTTCATCTCACTAGGGAGTGCCAGACAGTGGGTGCAGGTCAGTGGGTGTGTGCACCATGTGCGAGCCGAAGCAGGGCGAGGCATTGCCTCACTTGGGAAGCTCAAGGGGTCAGGGAGTTCCCTTTCCCAGTCAAAGAAAGGGGTGATGGACGCACCTGGAAAATCGGGTCACTCCCACCAGAATACTGCGCTTTTCTGACCGGCTTAAAAACCGGTGCACCACGAGATTATATCCTGCACCTGGCTGGGAGGGTCCTACACACACGGAGTCTCACTGATTGCTAGCACAGCAGTCTGAGATCAAACTGCAAGGCGGTAGCGAGGCTGGGGGAGGGGCGCCCACCATTGCCCAGGCTTGCTTAGGTAAACAAAGCAGCCTGGAAGCTCGAACTGGGTGGAGCCCACCACAGCTCAAGGAGGCCTGCCTGCCTCTGTAGGCTCCACCTCTGGGGGCAGGGCACAGACAAACAAAAAGACAGCAGTAACCTCTGCAGACTTAAATGTCCCTGTCTGACAGCTTTGAAGAGAGTAGTGGTTCTCCAAGCACCCAGCTGGAGATCTGAGAAAGGGCAGACTGCCTCCTCAAGTAGGTCCCTGACCCCTGACCCCCGAGCAGCCTAACTGGGAGGCACCCCCCAGCAGGGGCACACTGAACCTCACACGGCAGGGTATTCCAACAGACCTGCAGCTGAGGGTCCTGTATGTTAGAAGGGAAACTAACAAACAGAAAGGACATCCACACCAAAAACCCATCTGTACATCACCATCATCAAAGACCAAAAGTAGATAAAACCACAAAGATGGGGAAAAAACAGAACAGAAAAACTGGAAACTCTAAAAAGCAGAGCACCTCTCCTCCTCCAAAGGAACGCAGTTCCTCACCAGCAATGGAACAAAGCTGGATGGAGAATGACTTTGACGAGCTGAGAGAAGAAGGATTCAGACGATCAAATTAACTCTGAGCTATGGGAGGACATTTAAACCAAAGGCAGAGAAGTTGAAAACTTTGAAAAAAATTTAGAAGAATGTATAACTAGAATAACCAATACAGAGAAGTGCTTAAAGGAGCTGATGGAGCTGAAAACCAAGGCTTGAGAACTACGTGAAGAATGCAGAAGCCTCAGGAGCCGATGAGATCAACTGGAAGAAAGGGTATCAGCAATGGAAGATGAAATGAATGAAATGAAGCGAGAAGGGAAGTTTAGAGAAAAAAGAATAAAAAGAAATGAGCAAAGCCTCCAAGAAATATGGGACTATGTGAAAAGACCAAATCTACATCTGATTGGTGTACCTGAAAGTGATGGGGAGAATGGAACCAAGTTGGAAAACACTCTGCAGGATATTATCCAGGAGAACTTCCCCAATCTAGCAAGGCAGGCCAATGTTCAGATTCAGGAAATACAGAGAATGCCACAAAGTTACTCCTCGAGAAGAGCAACTCCAAGACACATAATTGTCAGATTCACCAAAGTTGAAATGAAGGAAAAAATGTTAAGGGCAGCCAGGGAGAAAGGTCGGCTTACCCTCAAAGGGAAGCCCATCAGACTAACAGCGGATTTCTTGGCAGAAACCCTACAAGCCAGAAGAGCGTGGGGGCCAATATTCAACATTCTTAGAGAAAAGAATTTTCAACCCAGAATTTCATATCCAGCCAAACTAAGCTTCATAAGTGAAGGAGAAATAAAATACTTTACAGACAAGCAAATGCTGAGAGATTTTGTCAACACCAGGCCTGCCCTAAAAGAGCTCCTGAAGGAAGCGCTAAACATGGAAAGGAAAAACTGGTACCAGCCGCTGCAAAATCATGCCAAAATGTAAAGACCATCGAGACTAGGAAGAAACTGCATCAACTAACGAGCAAAATAACCAGCTAACATCATCATGACAGGATCAAATTCACACATAACAATATTAACTTTAAATGTAAATGGACTAAATGCTCCAATTAAAAGACACAGACTGGCAAATTGGATAAAGAGACAAGACCCATCAGTGTGCTGTATTCAGGAAACCCATCTCACGTGCAGAGACACACATAGGCTCAAAATAAAAGGATGGAGGAAGATCTACCAAGCAAATGGAAAACAAAAAAAGGCAGGGGTTGCAATCCTAGTCTCTGATAAAACAGACTTTAAACCAACAAAGATCAAAAGAGACAAAGAAGGCCATTACATAATGGTAAAAGGATCAATTCAACAAGAAGAGCTAACTATCCGAAATATATATGCACCCAATACAGGAGCACCCAGATTCATAAAGCAAGTGCTTAGTGACCTACAAAGAGACTTCGACTCCCACACATTAATAATGCGAGACTTTAACACCCCACTGTCAATGTTAGACAGATCAACGAGACAGAAAGTCAACAAGGATACCCAGCAATTGAACTCAGCTCTGCACCAAGCGGACCTAATAGACATCTACAGAACTCTCCACCCCAAATCAAGAGAATATACATTTTTTTCAGCACCACACCACACCTATTCCAAAATTGACCACATAGTTGGAAGTAAAGCTCTCCTCAGCAAATGTGAAAGAACAGAAATTATAACAAACTATCTCTCAGACCACAGTGCAATCAAACTAGAACTCAGGATTAAGAATCTCACTCAAAACTGCTCAACTACATGGAAACTGAACAAGCTGCTCCTGAATGACTAATGGGTACATAATGAAATGAAGGCAGAAATAAAGATGTTGTTTGAAACCAATGAGAACAAAGACACACCATACCAGAATCTCTGGGACACATTCAAAGCAGTGTGTAGAGGGAAATTTATAGCACTAAATGACCACAAGAGAAAGCAGGAAAGATCCAAACTTCACACCCTAACATCACAATTAAAAGAACTAGAAAAGCAAGAGCAAACACATTCAAAAGCTAGCAGAAGGCAAGAAATAACTAAAATCAGAGCAGAACTGAAGGAAATAGAGACACAAAAAACCCTTCAAAAAATTAATGAATCCAGGGGGATCAACAAAATTGATAGACCGCTAACAAGACTAATAAAGAAAAAAAGAGAGAAGAATCAAATAGACACAATAAAAAATGATAAAGGGGATATCACCACTGATCCCACAGAAATACAAACTACCATCAGAGAATACTACAAACACCTCTACGCAAATAAACTAGAAAATCTGGAAGAAATGGATAAATTCCTCAACACATACACTCTCCCAAGACAAAACCAGAGAGAAGTTGAATCTCTGAATAGACCAATAACAGGATCTGAAATTGTGGCAATAATCAATAGTTTACCAACCAAAAAGAGTCCAGGACCAGATGGATTCACAGCTGAATTCTACCAGAGGTACAAGGAGGAACTGGTACCATTCCTTCTGAAACTATTCCAATCAACAGAAAAAGAGGGAATCCTCCCTAACTCATTTTATGAGGCCAGCATCATCCTGATACCAAAGCTGGGCAGAGACACAACGAACAAAGAAAATTTTAGACCAATGTCCTTGATGAACATTGATACAAAAATCCTCAATAAAATACTGGCAAAACGAATCCAGCAGCACATCAAAAAGCTTATCCACCATGATCAAGGGGGCTTCATCCCTGGTATGCAAGGCTGGTTCAATATATGCAAATCAATAAATGTAATCCAGCATATAAACAGAGCCAAAGACAAAAACAACATGATTATCTCAATAGATGCAGAAAAAGCCTTTGACAAAATTCAACAACCCTTCATGCTAAAAACTCTCAATAAATTAGGTGTTGATGGGACATATCTCAAAATAATAAGAGCTATCTATGACAAACCCACAGCCAATATCATACTGAATGGGCAAAAACTGGAAACATTCCCTTTGAAACGTGGCACAAGACAGGGATGCCCTCTCTTACCACTCCTATTCAACATAGTGTTGGAAGTTCTGGCCAGGGCAATTAGGCAAGAGAAGGAAATAAAGGGTATTCAATTAGGAAAAGAGGAAGTCAAATTGTCCCTGTTTGCAGACGATATGATTATATATCTAGAAAACCCCATTGTCTCAGCCCAAAATCTCCTTAAGCTGATAAGCGACCTCAGCAAAGTCTCAGTATACAAAATCAATGTCCAAATATCACAAGCATTCTTATACACCAATAACAGACAAACAGAGAGCCAAATCATGAGTGAACTCCCATTCACAATTGCTTCAAAGAGAATAAAATACCTAGGAATCCAACTTACAAAGGATGTGAAGGACCTCTTCAAGGAGAACTACAAACCACTGCTCAAGGAAATAAAAGAGGATACAAAGAAATGGAAGAACATTCCAGGCTCATGGGTAGGAAGAATCAATATCGTGAACATGGCCATACTGCCCAAGGTAATTTACAGATTCAATGCCATCCCCATCAAGCTACCAATGCCTTTCTTCACAGAATTGGAAAAAACTACTTTAAAGTTCATATGGAACCGAAAATGAGCCCGCATCGCCAAGTCAATCCTAAGCCAAAAGAACAAAGCTGGAGGCATCATGCTACCTGACTTCAAACTATACTACAAGCCTACAGTAACCAAAACAGCATGGTACTGGTACCAAAACAGAGATATAGGTCAATGGAACAGAACAGAGCCCTCAGAAATAACTCCGCATATCTACAACCATCTGATCTTTGACAAACCTGAGAAAAACAACAACGGGGAAAGGATTCCCTATTTAATAAATGGTGCTGGGAAAACTGGCTAGCCATATGTAGAAAGCTGTAACTGGATCTCTTCCTTACACCTTATACAAAAATCAATTCAAGATGGATTAAAGACTTAAACGTTAGACCTAAAACCATAAAAACCCTAGAAGAAAACCTAGGCATTACCATTCAGGACATAGGCATGGGCAAGGACTTCATGTCTAAAACACCAAAAGCAATGGCAACAAAAGACAAAATTGACAAATGGGATCCAATTAAACTAAAGAGCTTCTGCACAGCAAAAGAAACTACCGTCAGAGTGAACAGGCAACCTACAAAATGGGAGAAAATTTTTGTGACCTACTCATCTGACAAAAGGCTAATATCCAGAATCTACAATGAACTCAAACAAATTTACAAGAAAAAAACAACCCCATCAAAAAGTGGGCGAAGGACATGAACAGACACTTCCCAAAAGAAGACATTTATGCAGCCAAAAAACACGTGAAAAAATGCTCATCATCACTGGCCATCAGAGAAATGCAAATCAAAACCACAATGAGCTACCATCTCACACCAGTTAGAATGGCAATCATTAAAAAGTCAGGAAACAACAGGTGCTAGAGAGGATGTGGAGAAATAGGAACACTTTTACACGTTGGTGGGACTGTAAACTAGTTCAACCATTGTGAAAGTCAGTGTGGCGATACCTCAAGGATCTAGAACTAGAAATACCATTTGACCCAGCCATCCCATTACTGGGTATATACCCAAAGGACTATAAATCATGCTGTTATAAAGACACATGCACACGTATGTTTATTGTGGCATTATTCACAATAGCAAAGACTTGGAACCAACCCAAATGTCCAACAGTGATAGACTGGATTAAGAACATGTGGCACATATACACCATGGAATACTATGCAGCCATAAAAAATGATGAGTTCATGTCCTTTGTAGGGACATGGATGAAATTGGAAATCATCATTCTCAGTAAACTATCGCAAGAACAAAAAACCAAACACCGCATATTCTCACTCATAGGTGGGAATTGAACAATGAGATCACATGGACAGAGGAAGGGGAATATCACACTCTGGGGACTGTGGTGGGGTGGGGGGGGGAGGGATAGCACTGGGAGATATACCTAATGCTAGATGACGAGTTAGTGGGTGCAGCACACCAGCATGGCACATGTATCCATATGTAACTAACCTGCACAATGTGCACATGTACCCTAAAACTTAAAGTATAATAATAAATAAATAAATAAATGTTACTGAAAAAAAATAAATAAAATAAAATAAAATACTCAAAAAAAAAAAAAAAGAGTTCCATGGCCTGCGGAAAAATGAGAGACTACCTTTCAGAACTCACACCTGCCATTCCCTAGTTTGGGGTCAGTGATTCTCCCCCTCCCCAAAATAACAACAACAAAACCCTCCCCAGAAAGTAGTGGTGCTTTCCTCTGAATTTCTCAGATCTTTGCTTCTGGCCCTCTCCATTTATTTTTAAAATATTTTAGACAGGGTCTCGCTCTGTTGCCCAGGCTGGAGTGCAGTGGCATGATCTCGGCTCACTGCAACCTCTGCCTCCTGGGTTCAAGCAATTATCCTGCCTCAGCCTCCCAAGTAGCTGGGATTTCAAGTGTGCACCACCACGCCAAGCTAATTTTTGTATTTTTACTAGAGACTGGGTTTCGCCATGTTGGCCAGGCTGGTCTTGAACTCCTGACCTCAAGTGATCCACCTGCCTCAGCCTCCCAAAGTTCTGGGATTACAGGCCGGAACCACCATGCCCGGCAGGCCCTCTCTGTTTATAGATGAGCCACCTGAGACACAGAGATATTGCTACTTGCTTAAGTCCATAGAGCATGTCAGGGACAGAGCTGAGATCACCTCCCTAATCTTCTGATTCCTCCTGATGCTTCTCTGCTTGTTGTCTCCTTACATCTTGTCAACAGGGCAAAAAATAGTTATACGGGAAATATGTGCATAAGTATATATGTAAGTGAATTTTCATGGTTTATTATTTAGGCTTTTTGTCCAGTTGCCAAGGATCTTACAAGAGATTAACTGCACATATTCCCTAACCTAAAGATTCTTCTTAATAATGTGTGCCTCATCCTGTTTTCCTTGTTTTATATTTTAGGGATTGCAAATCTATTGAATATAGATTCTCTACTAGTTATATCTCTTTCCGGGTCTCAGTAAGATAAGTAAGTTGAACAAATTTAATCACTAGAGGTTCTTAAGTGGAAAATTATGTGGTCCTAATAATTTTTGTGGTAGTTATTGACCAGGAGCATGGGTTTTTCTTGTACACTGTTGTTTCCCAGGGTCTAACACATTTCGCCATACCATATTTCCTTCATCTAAGATGTGCACTGACTAAGAAAATCACTAAATGTTTGTGGAATGGATGAATTCATAATGAGAGAATGGAGGCTTGGATGCATCTGTCTTCAGAAGGAGTGGACTTCTTACACTGTAATTGTGATAATAAATAATGTTGGCATAGTCCAGAGGAGAATTTCAATAACTTAAATATGTAAAACCCAGGACCTTAACCTACATGTTTTTAGTTATCTATATAATAATCTATATAATTAATTCATTCATAAATTCAAATTCCATGAATTTCAATTATTTTCTCTTTCATTCACTTATTAATTCATGATTTACTTAACTCATTCAGTTAACATTTATTGAGTCCTAACTATATGACACTCCTTCCCCAGATTAGCTTACTTCTTAAATGGCTTACATCTTAAATCAGAGAGAAAAATAATAACAAAATTTAAAATTCACTGGAGAAAAATAATAGTCAGATTTCATATTATGCAAAGTGGTCTTTCCTACATTAGTAAGCCAACCTATATCAACCAAGATACTAATCAATAATCATTACCTATAAAAACATTTAAAAAACAGATATTGTGAACCAGGACCAAGGAGCGTGTAGCAGAAAATGTTAGGTCAGGCTAGCAAAGTGTTCTTTTAAAAAAATTCTAAATTTGTACAGGTTTAAGGTATATAAGTGTAATTTAATTCTTTTTTTTTAATTATACTTCAAGTTCTGGGATACATGTGCAGAACATGCAGGTTTGTTACATAGGTGTACATGTGCCATGGTGGTTTGCAGCTCCCATCAACTAGTCATCTACATTAGGTATTTCTCCTGATGCTATCACTCCCCTTGCCCCCCACCACCCCTGGACAGGCCTCAGTGTGTGATGTTCCTCTCCCTGTGTCCATGTGTTCTCATTGTTCAACTCCCACTTACACGTAAGAACATGCAATGTTTGGTTTTTTGTTCCTGTGTTAGTTTGTTGAGAATGATGGTTTCCAGCTTCATCCATGTCCCTGCAAAAGACATGAACTCATCCTTTTTTATGGCTGCATAGTATTCCATAGTGTATATGTGCCACATTTTCTTCACCCAGTCTATCATTGATGGAGATTTGGGTTGGTTCCAAGTCTTTGCTATTGTGAACAGTGCTGCAATAAACATACATATGCATGTGTCTTTATGATAGCATGATTTATAATCCTTTGGGTATATACCGAGTAATGGGATTGCTGGGTCAAGTGGTATTTCTGGTTCTAGATCCTTGAGGAATAGCCACACTCTCTTCCATAATGGTTAAACCAACTTATACTCCCACCAACGGTGTAAAAGCATTCCTATTTCTCCACATCCTCTCCAGCAACTGTTGTTTCCTGACTGTTTAATGATCGCCATTCTAACTGGCATGAGATGGTACCCCACTGTGGTTTTGATTTGCATTTCTCTAATGACCAGTGATGATGAGCATTTTTTATGTGTTTGTTGGTCATATAAATGTCTTTTTTTTTTTTTTTTATTTGAGATGGAGTTTTGCTCTTGTTGCCCAGGCTGGAGTGCAATGGCATGATCTCAGCTCACTGCAACCTCCGCCTCCCAGGTTCAAGCAATTATCCTGCGTCAGCCTCCCGAATAGCTGAGATTACAGGCATGCACCACCACACCTGGCTAATTTTGTATTTTTAGTAGAGATGGGGTTTCTCCATGTTAAGGCTGGTCTTGAACTCCTGACCTCAGGTGATCTGCCCGCCTCAGCCTCCCAAAGTGCTGGGATTACAGGTGTGAGCCACTGTGCCCGGCCCCACATATAAATGTCTTCTTTTGAGAAATGTCTGTTCATATCCTGTGCCCACTTTTTGATGTTTTTTTTTTCTCATAAATTTGTTTAAGTTCTTTGTAGATTCTGGATATTAGCCCTTTGTCAGATGGATAGATTGCAAAAATTTTCTCCCATTCTGTAGGCTGCTTGTTCACTCTGATGATAGTTTCTTTTGCTGTGCAGAAGCTCTTTAGTTTAATTAGATCCCATGTGTCAATGTTGGCATTTGTTGAGATTGCTTTTGGTGTTTTTGTCATGAAATCTTTGCTCATGCCTATGTCCTGAATGATATTACCTAGGTTTTCTTCTAGGGTTTTTATGGTTTTAGGTCTTACATTTAAGTCTTTAGTTCATCTTGAGTTAATTTTTGTATAAAGTGTAAGGAAGGGGTCCAGATTCAGTTTTCTGCATATGGCTAGCCAGTTTTCCCAACAAAATTTATTAAATAGGGAATACTTTTCCCATTGCTTGTTTTTGTCAGGTTTGTTGAAGATCAGATGGTTGTAGATGTGTGGAGTTATGTCTAAGGCCTCTGTTCTGTTCCATTGGTCTATGTATCTGTTTTGGTACGAGCACCATGCCGTTTTGGTTACTGTAGCCTTGTAGCATAGTTTGAAGTCAGGTAGTGTGATGCCTTCAACTTTGTTCTTTTTGCTAAGGATTATCTTGGCTATACAGGCTCTTTTCTGGTTCCATATGAAATTTAAAGTAGTTTATTTCTAATTCTGTAAAGAAAGTCAATGGTAGCTTGATGGGGATAGCACTGAATCTATAAATTACTTTGGGCAGTATGGCCATTTTCACGATATTGATTCTTCCTTTCCATGAGCATGGAATGTTCTTCCATTTGTTTGTGATCTCTCTCATTTCCATCAGCAGTGGTTTGCAGTTCTTCTTGACGAGGTCCTTCACATCCCTAGTAAGTTGTATTCCTAGGTATTTTATTCTCTTTGTAGGAATTGTGAATGGGAGTTCCCTCATGATTTGGCTGTTTGTCTTTTATTGGTGTATAGCAATGCTTGTGATTTTTGCACATCGATTTTGTATCTTGAGACTTTGCTGAAGCTGCTTATCAGCTTAAGGAAATTTGGGGCTGAGACAATGGGGTTTTCTAAATATACAATCATGTTATCTGCAAACAGAGACAATTTGACTTCCTCTCTTCCTATTTGAATGCCCTTTATTTCTTTCTCTTGCCTGATTGTCCTGGCCAGAACTTCCAATGTTATGTTGAATAGGAGTTGTGAGAGAGGGCATCCTTGTCTTGTGCTGGTTTTCAAAGGGAATGCTTCCAGCTTTTGCCCATTCAGTATGATATTGGCTGTGGGTTTGTCATAAATAGCTCTTATTATTTTGAGATACATTCCATCAATACCTAGTTTATTGAGAGTTTTTACCATGAAGCAGTGCTGAATTTTATCAAAGGCATTTTCTGCATCTATTGAGATAATAATGTGGTTTTGTCATTGGATCTGTTTATGGGATGGATTACATTTATTGATTTGTGTATGTTGAACCAGCCTTGCATCCCAGGGATGATGTCGACTTGATTGTGGTGGATAAGCTATTTGATGTACTGCTCGATTTGATTTGCCAGTATTTTATTGATGATTTTCACATTGATATTCATCAGAGATATTGGCCTGCAATTTTCCCTTTTTGTCGTGCCTCTGCCTGGTTTTGGTATCAACATGATGCTGGCCTCATAAAATGAATTAGTGAGGCGTCTCTCTTCTTCTATTGTTTGGAATAGTTTCAGAAAAAATGGTACCAGCTCCTCTCTGTACTTCTGGTAGAATTTGGCTGTGATTCCGTCTGGTCCTGGGCCTTTTTTGGTTGGTAGGCTATTAATTACTGCCTCAATTTCAGAACTTGTTATTGGTCTATTCAGGGATTTGATTTCTTCCTGGTTTAGTCTTGGGAGGGTGTACGTGTCCAGAAATTTATCCATTTCTTCTAGGTTTTCTAGTTCATTTGTATACAGGTGTTTATAGTATTCTCTGATGGTAGTTTGTATTTCTGTGGGATCAGTGGTGATATCCCCTCTAACATTTTTTATCATGTCTATTTGATTCTTCTCTCTTTTATTCTTTATTATTCTGGCTAGAGGTTTATCTATTTTGTTAATCTTTTCAAAAAACCAGCTCCTGGATTCTTTGATTTTTTGAAGGGTTTTATTGTGTCTCTATCTCCTTCAGTTCTGCTCTGATCTTTGTTATTTCTTGTCTCCTGCTAGCTTTTGAATTTGTTTGCTCTTGCTTTTCTAGTTCTTTCCATTGTGATGTTAGAGCGTCGATTTTAGCTCTTTCCTGTTTTCTCCTATGGGCATTTAGTGCTATAAATTTCCATCTAAACACTGCTTTAGCTGTGCCCCAGAGATTCTGGTACATTATGTTTTTGTTCTCATCAGTTTCAAATAACTTATTTATATCTGCCTTAATTTCGTTATTTACCCAGGAATCATTCAGGAGCAGGTTGTTCTGTTTCCATGTAGTTGTGTGGTTTTGAATGAGTTTCTTATTCCTGAGTTCTGATTTGATTACACTATGGTCTGAGAGACTGTTATGATTTCTGTTCTTTGGCATTTGCTGAAGAGTGTTTTACTTCCAGTTACGTGGCTGATTTTAAAACAAGTGTGATGTGGTACTGAGAAGAATGTATGTTCTGTTGATTCGGGGTAGAGAGTTCTGTAGATGTCCATTAGGTCTGCTTGGTCCAGAGCTGAGTTAAAGTCCTGAATATCCTTGTTAATTTTCTGTCTCATTGATCTGTCTAATATTGACAGTGTGGTGTTAATGTCTCCCACTATTATTGTGTGGGAGTCCAAGTCTCTTTGTAGGTCTCTAAGAACTTGCTTTATGAATCTGGGCACTCCTGTAAGTGGGTGCATATATATTCAGGATAGTTAGCTCTTCTTGTTGCATTGATCCCTTTACCATTATGTAATGCCCTTCTTTGTCTTTTTTTCTCTTTGTTGGCTTAAAGTCTCTTTTATCAGAGACTAGGATTGCAACCCCTGCTTTTTTTTTTTTTTTTTTTTTTTTTTTTTTTTTTTTTTTTTTTTTTGCTTTCTATTTGCTTGGTAAATATTCCTCCATCCCTTTATTTTGAGCCTATGTGTGTATTTGCATGTGAGATGGGTCTCATGAATTCAGCACACTGATGGCTCTTGACTCTTCATCCAATTTACCAGTTTGTGCCTTTTAATTGGGGCATTTAGCCCATTTATATTTAAAGTTAATATTGTTATGTGTGAAGTTGTTCCTGTCATTATGATGCTAGCTTTATTTTGCACATTAGTTGATGCAGTTTCTTCATAATTTCAATGGTCTTTACATTTGGTATGTGTTTGCAGTGGCTGGTACTGGTTTTTCCTTTCCAAATTTAGTACTTCATTCAGGAACTCTTATAAGGCAGGCCTGGGGGTGACAAAATCCCTCAGCATTTGCTTGTCTGTAAAGAATTTTATTTCTCCTTTGCTTATGACACTTAGTTTGGCTGGATATGAAATTCTGGGTTGAAAATTCTTTTCTTTAAGAATGTTGAATATTGCCTCCCACTCTCTTCTGGTTTGTAGGGTTTCTGTAAAAAGATCCACTGTTAGTCTGATGGGCTTTTCTTTATGGGTAACCGGACCTTTATCTCTGGCTGCCTTTAACATTTTTTCCTTCATTTCAACCTTGGTGAATCTGACAATTATGTGTCTTAGGGTTGCTCTTCTCGAGAAGTATCTTAGTGGTCTTCTCTGTATTTCCTGAATTTGAATGTTGGCCTGTCTTGCAAAGTTGGGGAAGTTCTCCTGGATAATATCCTGAAGAGTATTTTCCAATTTGGTTCCATTCTCCCCATCATTTTCAGGTACACCAATCAAATGTAGGTTTGGTCTTTTCACATAGTCCCATATTTCTTGGAGGCTTTGTTCATTCTTTTACATTCCTTTTTCTCTAATCTTGTCTTCACACTTTATTTTATTGAGTTAACATTCAGTCTCTGACATCCTTTCTTCTGCTTGATCAATTTAGTTATTGATACTTGTGTATGTTTCATATGTTTCACAAAGTTCTCATGATGTGTTTTTCAGCTCCATCAGGTCATTTATGTTCTCTAAACTGGTTATTCTAGTTAGCAATTCCTCTAACCTTTTTTCAAGGTTCTTAGCTTTCTTGCATTGGGTTAGAATGTGCTCCTTTAGCTCAGAGGAGTTTGCTATTACCCACCTTCTGAAGCCTACTTTGGTCAATTCATCAAACTCATTCTCTGTCCAGTTTTGCTCCCTTGCTGGTGAAGAGTTGTGATCCTTTGAAGGAGAAGAGGCTTTCTGGTTTTTGGAATTTTCAGCCTTTTTGCACTGGTTTTTTCTCATCTTCATGGATTTATCTACCTTTGGTCTTTAGTGCTGGTGATCTTTGGATGGGGATTTTATGTGGATGTCCTCTTTGTTAATGTTGATACTATTCCTTTCTGTTTTTTAGTTTTCCTTCTAACATTTAGGCACCTCTGCTGCAGGTTTGCTGGAGGTCCACTCCAGACCCTGTTTGCCAGGGTATCACCAGCAGAGGGTGCAGAACAGCAAAGATTGTTGCCTGTTTCTTCTGGAAGCTTCGTCCCAGAGGGACACCTGCCAGATGCCAGCCGGAGCTCTCCTGTGTGAGGGGTCCGTCAACCCCTGCTGGGAGGTGTCTCCCAGGCATGGGGCACAGGTGTCAGGGACCCACTTCAGGAGACAGTCTCTCCCTTAGCAGAAATCGAACGCTGTGCTGGGAGATCCACTGCTCTCTCCAGGGCTGGTAGGCAGAAGTGTTTAAGTCTGCTGAAGCTGCACCCACAGCTGCCCCTTCCCTCAGGTGCTCTGTCCCAGGGAGATGGGAGTTTTATCTATAAGCCCCTGACTGAGGCTGCTACCTTTCTTTCAGAGTTGCCCTGCTCAGACAGGAGGAATCTAGAGAGGCAACCTGGCTGTAGTGGCTTTGTGGTGCTGCTGCCAGTGTAATTTAATTCTTAGAAGCATTGAATGATTACATAAACCTACCTGTAGAGATATTCTAACACAGACTGAATGATTGCTCACAAGGGGTACTCTAGGTTAGTTGACCTTAGGAATGTTGAGGTCAGTAAAGTTTTTAAGAGGCTCATGAAATATGTTGATCCTTCCCTAAGAAAACTCCCTACACATACATATAAATACAGTTGTGTATTTGATCCTTCCCTAAGAAAAATCCCTACACATACATATAAATACACATACATATAAATTTCAGTTCAGTTGATATATCCTCTGATTTCCACTCATTAACCCTAGATTAAGCATATCCACTCTGGAAAGATTTTTGCATTTGGGTTACATTTTTAGGTCCTTAGAGGTGTGATAGTCCACGTTTTACCACGCCACATTTCCTCTACCTAAGATGCACTTATTTATTCCCTCCATTCTCATATTAATGCTTCTAAAATTGGGATGAGTTTACCAATCAATGTGTACACTTAATGCAGTTAATTTTTTGTTTGTTTTCTAAAAAGCTTTTATTAAATCAATGGTGCAGTCACACAATCAATAGCATCTTTGATGTAAGAAAACACAGTGCAGCATTTATTGGATGATGTATTTGTCATTGCTAAAAATAAAAGTAAAAACAAGATGTCTGCCTTCAAAGAGTTTCCAATTAAACAAAAATCTAGACCAATATTTGTGAAATAAGAATAATATCTAATAACACACCCTTGCAAATAATCATTTGTTAGGTGGACATTTTTCAGAAAAAGGAGGCATCAGTACAGGTCAGAAAAAAAAAATAAAAAGAAGTTGAGATGGAGCTTGTAACTGGAGCTGGTGAGAGGTGAGTCGAAGTATTCTATAATATTCAGTCCAATGAGGTAGTTGTGGGATTGAGAAAAATAGGTTTTTAAATCTGTCAGCAATTTATTTTAGCTGTTGTAGGTGAGTTATTCAAATTATCGTTGAACTTATAAAAATGATAGCATGGAAAAGGGTATCAAATATCTTTTCTGCATTCTATATTGAAGCTAGAATTTGTTTTTCATGCAGGTATATTCTTTGTTTTGAGATATCACTGTGATGACTCATTTAGTCATAGATATTTCTGGCAAGCATCTACTCATTGTTCTCAGAAAACACGGAGACAGTGACATATTCTATATGCTTCAGGCCAAGCATTCTGAATATAAAAACATCATTCATGGTGCATACAGCTGTACCCCTGAAAAGTTTATTATATTTTCAATGACGACCACATCCTTCACTCCTGAACTCCCCCCTCCAAAAAAAAGAGAGGGATATTTGAGTCTAGATTCGGAGTTGAGAAGACTAGATTGGGGTCTCTAATCCATAGGGGCCAACTGGCGCCTGTGGACTGGAGCTGATAAGCAAGAGATGACTATCATAGGACCTTCCATGGGAGTCACAGTTATTCAATTTTACAGCAATTCTTTCCAATAATCAGTTTCATTTCTCCTTCATCTCTGTACTATAATTTCTCTATCCCTAGCTATTGCAAACTAACAGAAGGCCTACGTCATGGCCTGGGTCAAAGGAAACCATAAAGAGTGGCAGCAGTATGAAGAAATGTTCTTAAGCTGTAAGAAGAGACTGATGACATCTAGAGAAATGGTTGATAAACAGCAACCAGGGAAAGTAGGTAAATTCCCAAAAGAGGCCCCAAAATGCACATGGAGAGAAATTTATTCATATTCATGAAGGATAGGGTGTATTCAATATTAGTAAAGTGCTAAAGAGAAACATGACTCTGAAGGCCTCTGGGCTTTGAAACAGTAAATATATGTGTGCTTTTTTTGGAGCAAGGGTCCTTAGGTTCTAAGTATTCTGTAACACAAAATTTTTTTATAAACTATTTAACTAGACATTAAGGATGGCAGGAATAGGACAGACTAAAAAAAAAACGAAGGAGTTTTACAGAAAAAAATGTTTTTTTTCTAAATACATATTTTAAATATACCAAGGAAAACATTTTAGAATGTCAGCTACATGTTTGGTAATAGATTATATATAATTAGACTTTAAGACACACTATATTATCCTTCTTGAAAATCATTGGCTTTTTGTTCCAGTGCTTTCCCAGCAAGTCAACAGATAATGCAGCTGCCCTAGGGAGCTTATTCTTTGAGGAAGGTTGCAAAGCCCTGGGCACCTGGCTAATTAAGAGCCATTTATCATTTTAGGGTTCTACAGTATTAAAACATGCCAAGCATTAAAAGTGGAATACATCCTAAGGAACTAAACACACACATACACACACACACACACACACAAATATACACACATACACATATATACACATATACATACACACATTTATATATAGATATAAATGTGGATGAATAAAAATGTTCATCTTAGGTTTATATATTATAGCAAAAAACTGAACACTGAAAACAACCTAATTGAAAACCACTTAATATCTAATGTACAGAATTCTTTTACTAAATTACATTGTATCCATATGATGAAATATGATGCAACCATTAAAAATTATACTATATCAAAATGTTAATAGCAACTATTATTAATAACAAGAATGATAAATTCTGGATATTGTAGCTTCTTTTCTATTCTCTTTCTTTTTTTACTGATCTATTTCTGCATTTTCTAAAATAGTCATGTTTAATTGTTCTAGCAGGCAAAACAATAGAAGTTGTTAAAAGTGGGTAGGGAAGAATATTTGTGATCATGGAAAAACAATTCTATATTACTAAAAAAGGAGGGTATAAAGAGTACTTGCAGGACAATGTCATCTGAAATGTAGACATGTACAGAAAAAAATATTTAAAGGGAATGTGGTAAAATGTTGATAGGTAATTATATTTATTATATTTTTCTTTGTCTTTTCTTATATTTTTCAAGTTTTCTGCACTGAACATGAGGTTCCTTTTTGTTTTTTGTTGTTGTTGTTGTTGTTTTGTTTTTTGTTTTGTTTTACAGAACTAAGGGGTACTAATGTCATTATCAGGTTATTTCTACTTTAACAAACAGCCCTGTCTAAGGATTGGTTAACCTTATGTGGCCATTCCCTTTAGCACCCTTTGCAAAGATTCCAAAAATGTCAGCCATAATTTAAGCAAACAGCACTCTCTGTGGCCCACTGAGAGGCCTAATTTAGGCTTTGTGAAATGGCCCCTGTAATGGTGTCCCCATCTGGTATGTGTGCACATGTACATATACATGCATACACACACATATGTATCACATACACACACACATAAAATGACAAATGCTATCTTGATTCTTCCAACAAGCTTTTAGATTTTCAGCAACTTAGCAGAAAGAAGCATTGAAATATGTTAATACTTACTGTCTCCAAGATCAACACTAAATGAGAATAAAATATAAGACTACACAGACCAGAGGCAAAAATAGTAGTCTTGGCCAAATTTAGCAAAGTTTGACTTATGGGTATGGAACTTTAAAATGAGCAATTTTAATATGCATGTGACTAATCCCCAGAGTGAATGCCACTACTGCTCCAGCCAGCTTGGGATCCTCTGTACTTTCCTTGGCTTTCACGGCTCTCTTGACCAAAATAGTCTCCTTCTTGTTTCTCTTTACTGTGAGAGCCCACCCATTTTTTAAGGTTGCCAAAACAACCCTGAGGGTATCAACTGGAAGAGTCCCATGTAGAAACAGATGGGACACTTCATGGTGAACTTTGAGGGAAACTTAATAAAGCACTTTTTACCAAGTTGTAGGCAAGTTCAGGGACACTAACAAGATATAGTGTAGTATCCCAAGACTAGTAACAGGAGGAGACTTATGGAGCAGGTCCAGGGTTTGTGGGACCTGATTGTGTATTCATTTACTCATATTACGTTTCTGTTTCAGAAAAAAGATACAAAATTCCAAATACAAAATTAATAATGCAAATGAATGTTTTCAAATGAGAAAATACATTACAATAACATACACTTAGATGAAACTACCACAAATACTATAAAATCTAAAAACATATGTAGACATGTTAATTGCCTAATGAAGTACTATAACACTTTTGCCCTACATTTTTGGCTACATACTCTGATTACCTCCTCAAATGACAGTGGTTTGCTTCATAAGTTGTTGTTGGTAATGTCATGCATATTTTAAAAATTGACATCAAAATTGGGAAAACTTTGAGTTTCTTTTTATGATTAACTTTAATTTTATAACTTGTTTTAGGTAATGTCACATAAATGTTCAGGATTATTTTGAAAGCTGGGAAAATATTTACCACTTTTGTTTTCACATGTGTCCTATAAAGATTTGGAAGAAATTTTCACAGATTAGCTTCTGGCTCTGCATATTTCAAATGTTACTTCTCCACTAGGACCCAGGTGCTTCTGGGTCAGGCTCCGAAGGACATATGGCAATTCAGCCTCTGGTGATGCATTTCTGTATGGTGATGCCAGATGAACTAGTAGAGTAGATCATTAAAGTGACTGCAAATCATGTAAAATTATATGCCAGGTTGAGATTTAGTATCTAAGTAACTAAGTATATCCAATGCAAGTTCCTCTGAGTCAGATCCTCCAATTTCCCATTGGAGTAATACTCCATATTATCAGATACAAAGGGAAATATGACAAAAAAAAGTGAGAGTAGAAGGAGACATCAGTCTTATTCAATATGAATTGTAATATCTTTGTTAGTTTTCTGTCGCTGCCTAACAAATTACCACCAACTTGGAAGCTTAAAACAATATCTATTTATTAGCTCACAGTTCTGTAAATCAGAAACCCAGTACCATGTGGCTGGGTTCTCTGCTTAGGGCATGAGAAGACTGAACTCACAATGTCAGGCTGAGTCCTCACCTAGATGCTCTAGGAGAAATCTGCTTTTGAGTTATTCAGTTTGTTGGCAGAATGTAGTTCCTTGCAGCTATAGGACTAAGGGCTTCCTTTCCTTGATGGCTGTCAACTTGGAGCCTCTGTTACCTTTTTAAAGTTGCTTGCATTATTTCTCAACACTCTCCATCTCCAAGCTAGCTATGGAACATCCAGTCTTGCTCATGCTTCAGACTCCTCTGACCTTCTCTTCTGCCCCCAGTTGGAGGAAGCTCTCCACTTCTAAGAGCTCATATGATTAGATAAGCCTACCGAGATAATCTCCCTATCTTAAAATAAACTGTGCCATATAACATAGCATCATCATATCTTATAATAGTCACAGGTCCTGGGAAATCGGGCAGGAAATCTTGGGGATCACTTTTAGAATCCTGCCTACTACAAGACTTAATTTTAGCAAAGTATCCAAGCAACATATGACCATATCAGCACATTGCTAGGGTCCCTTCCAGGGTTTGGAAGGCATCTGTGCAATGAAGGATATGGAAGTTCAAGGCTAAGTCCATGTCCGAGTTTTGATAGCTCTACCCATTCAGGGGTAAGAAGGGAGAGCAGTTATTGGAACCCCCAAATATACCAGTATGGAGCTGTGCTGTAGTGAGGGATGCAGCCAATCTGTAGTGACCTAGCATGAAGGGAGTCACAGGAATAAATATTCCAGTCTCACTCTCCTGGGATCTCCTCTTGACACCTTCCATTTGCCAAACTCACTGTAAGCCAGAAAACAAGGAGCTCATTGACATGGCCCAGGCATTACAGGTTCCCTGTCCACATAGCAGAGTGGAGAAGCCAGAAAATCAATCTGGAGAGGCAAAAGGAAACTGTTCAGCCCATTGATCAATCCCTTTCTTCAGTCCTTTTGTGCTTATTGACTAATGCTATTGTGTTGGCATTTATTTTATCCTACCTTTTAGTATCTGAATTATTGTGTTGGTGGATCATGACATCCCCTCCCCCAGATTGCAAATTACACGAGGGAGAAAACATAACTTTTACTTTAATTTTATAATCCTCAATACAAAGAATGTTATTCAGTTGGCCTTTACCATCTCTGTTCCTGACCTCTCTCTAGAGATCTAGACTAGAATATCTTAATGACCGAAACATCTTCAAATTTCACATGCCCACAACTGACAGTTTTACCTCTCACTCATACTCTTCCCTCTTTTATTCCTATCTTTGTAAATGTCACTATCACCTCTCAGTCCCCAAAGCAAGTAACTTTGGTAATATTGACACCCCTCTACATTACCCCAATAACTCTCATTCAATCTTTTGTCAAGTTTTCTAAGTGTTTATCCATGTCATTTCTGTCCACTCCATTCTCTCTCATATAAATTACTGCTCTGTCCAAATCTCTATCAGCTTTTTATTATGCTATTTACTACTATAGCCTCCTAAGTGGTTTCCCATTTGCAATCCCTCACTTTTTAAATCCAATTGTGGTTCTGGCACTGGAATTATGAGTCCACAATACAAATGGGATTATATCAAAACATTTTTGGATGGGTCCAGTGCCAATAAAATAAAATCAAGATTCCTTGGCTTGGCATTCAAGGACTCCTGCAGTCTGGCTCAATTCCACCTTGCCAGCTTCATCCAACCTGATTTTCCTCTAGATATCTTATGTCACTTGATTTCTCCTAATGTACACTCACACCAGCATCTCTAACTACAGGGGACTTCTAACTTATCTTTAGTGGTGTGCTGGTACTGATTTGTAATATTTGCCCATTTCCATGATGTAAATAGTCTCATTATGGCCAATTTCAAACTACCAATTAGATGTCATTGGACAAAGAGTTGGGAAGAGACATGCACATTCCATTCTCATGAGCCAGCTCTACCATATCACTGCCTGTTGTCTGCTTCTAGAAATTCTACACATCCTTCAAATGTCAGATCCAGTGAGTCTGTCTTCTAGAAGACTCCTATGATTCTACCTTTTATGCTGACTCTGGACCATTTAGAATCACTCCCTCCCCTGTTCTGTCTTCTCATTGGATATGACTTGAACCTATTTGCAGTACATTTTTTATTCTACCTTAAGTCCTAAGCAACACGTTAGCAAACAATAATGCCCATCTAAAATGCATGATGATTTCCTTTGTAATATATGTTGTTTTGGGTTTCTCAGGTCAACAGACTCTGCTTTAGACGTAGAACTACTCTTTACTATGGTTATGCTTTTGTTACTCTGTGAAGAGATCTATAACACACGACATACACAGCATTGGTTTCTTTCATTCTTCCACTCAGTGAACAAGAGTCAAAGGGCCATGAGATACCATGAGATCAGAAGAACATGGCTGTCAGAATCTTGAGATCCTACTGACTCAAGAATTCAAAGTCACAGGGATGGGCAAAATGTTATCTCAAACCTAGCCCACAGAAATATATTTTTCCTGAAGTTGTACAGCTCACGTTACTTCCCTCATTACATCTTATAAAATTTAAAGGGTGTATGTTTGGAGTTCAACAGACCTGAGTTAAAGTCCTGGCTCTACCCCATTCTAGCTAGATGACTTTGGACAAGTTATTGACTCTCAATGCCTCAATTTCCTCGTGAGCAACATGGAAGCATTCATATGTAAGTTTGGAGCTATCATACTCATTAAATAAGATAATACTTATAGATTATAATACAGTGATGAGTTCCCTAGTCAGTTCAGTGGTGGTGGTAGTAGTAATTAACATGATAGTGTATTTTATAATCTATATCTGATAATTAATAATTCTTTTAAACTTTTATTTTCAGTGTAATTGCAATTCTAATGTGAAAAATATTCATGTTCTACTTGTGCTCATTTATTCCACATCTTTCCTGGCAGCAATGGGCATCCACGAAGCAGGCATGTATATCACTTTTGCTATCCTGACCCTTGAGTGTAATTATCCAGTCTCTGTAGTTAATGTATGGTATCTGCAGTCATTACCATTTGTAGTTCTTAATCTCTCCTTCATCATTCTGGCTGCCTTTGGCTAAGAAGCATTATTCACGCATTTACAATCAACTCTCAAAAACTCAGCTGTGTTATTTGACCTCATATTTCCTCTCTCTTCCCACTTCATTAGTTATATTTTTATAGAATGGTCACCTTAAACCCACAAAGAGAGGTAGGAGCAGATAGAGAAAAAAATCTCTAGTTGGATCAACTAATGATTCAAGTGCGGATAAAACAGGGACCTAGTCTTTTAAACCAGTATTTTCTTGCCTTCACACCTCTCCTGGATAAGCTAGGTGGAGGTTCTCCCACCACAGTGAATAGACAGAAGAGCATCCTTCTAAAACGTTCCTGATGAAGGTTTATTTTCCTGAGCCAGGAGTGTCCTCAATACACCATGAGCCCTGCTATCAAATATTTGTAGAAGATAAGTGGCTCTGAATCACAACTGCTTTGAAGCCAAAATCATTTTTGACAGACACCTTCTGCCACCCTACAATGCCAAGTTAGGTCAGCACTAACAATTCTGACAACAGGTCAATTTATTTGATTATTTTATTACATTTCACAACTAATTTTTTCTCTGGGAGTTCACCAGGGTGTCACATGATTTGAAGTTTGTTGTTATTAAAGTGTACTATTGAGGTATTTTTAAATTGCTATACTGGTTTATGGGAAATACTTCCTGGAAAATATTCTAGGCCAGTGACTCTCAGCCTTAGCTACACGTTAGAATTAACTGGGGGAGCTTTTGAAAAAAATCCCAATTTCCAGGCTACATCACAGAGCAACTCAATAAGAATTTCTGGGGTTGAGACCCAGCCACTAGTATTTTTTTTTAAAACAGCTTAAGTAATTCCAGTGGGTTGCCAAGATTGAAAACCACTATTCTAGGCTAAGATGATCATGGCCATAATCTAGGAAAGTAGTTCTCAAACATTTTCTATTTGTTTGTTTGAAGCAAGGGCATTCTTTTATCAAATAAAATTGTAAATCAGATGTGACAGACTCTTCTGCTCTGGAATGTGGGCTGAACTTAAAATCTACCTTCTAATTAATAGAATACCATAGACTAACACACAAGTAATAGGATGTCACTTCTGATATTAGGTTACAAAAACACTGTGTTTTCCATCTTGGATTCTCTTGTTCTCTCTTGGATCACTTACTTCCAGGGGAAGCCAGTGGACATGCCATAAGACAACCTTGTAGAAAGTCCACAGGAATGAGTTGGGAAGTGGGTTTTCTGAGATCTGCCAACTGCCATGTGAGTTAGCTACTTCTTGGAAACAGATCCTACCCAGATCAAGCTTTGAAACAACTGCAGCCTCTTGAACAATCTAAAGCCAGAACAGCCCATCTAAGATTCTTCCAATCCCCAACCCACAGAAACTTTGTGAGGTTGCAAAGGGAACAAAGGAGAAAGGAAGGGACAGAGAGAAAGAAAAAAAGAAAGTAGTAACACAAAAGAAAGAATACAAAAACACTGTCTGTCCACATGTCGATCTCATTAGATTTATAGATTGCATCTCATTGATCATAAGACAGGACACTAAATTAGTGCTTAATAACTATTATTAAATACATTTTTAACTCTCCTCTTCTGCCTAGATCTTTTCCCTCATATTTATTCCTGCACTGCATACCTGTCTGTGAGTCCTCAGGGTTCTGACACTGACCATGTCTTTGTAGCTTGATTGTATTAAAGCAGAAAAGCAACTCACGTTTGTCAACTGTCTCCGAAATGCCAGGAATTTCTCTGTCTTTTCTGTGGCACTTCATCTAATTTCCACAACCATCTTCTAAAGTGTCATTATTTCTATCTTGTGGATGAGAAAGCTAATGTCAAAGCAGTTTAGAAACTTTCCAAATATCACATAGATAAGTAGGAAAGTCAACATGTGACCTCAGAACTACCTAAGCCCACACACATTCTTTATCAGGTAATGTTTTAATACCTTACAGTAGATAACATTAAATTTAAAAATAAAAATGACCAGAAGCATTAATTTGTAGGTATCTTGGAGAAACCCTTAGAGTTGGGAAGAGTGAGAACTCTGGATCCCATCCCATTCCACAGATGAGAAAACTGAGGCCCAGAGAGAGAAAGTGACTCATACAAGTTTCTATAGCTCTTAAATGTCGGATCAGGGTATTAACAAAACTCTCCAAGAGGCAGGACCCTTGGCACTGAGGAATAGGAAATTCGGTTTCAGATATATCTGGTTTAAGGTCTGTCTCTGCCAATTTATTTATTAAGGAATATTTATTGAGCGATTCCTACGTGCTGGTCCTAGTGTGGGTGCTGGAAACTGAACAAAACTGTAAAGACCCGGCTTCAATGGAGGTGACATTCTATTTGGGGAGAATGAATGAGAGATAGAGAGAGACATTAAAGTATATAATTTCAAGTAGTCATAGAAATGGTAAAAAAAAATAAATAAATAAATAAAGCAAAGTCATACGACAGAGTGAAGGGTGAGGCAACTTTGAAAAAGCATGATCAAGGAGGGCCTCTGGGAGGGGGTGACAGCTGTGCTTAATCCTGACAGAAAGATGCAGCCAATCACATACCTGAAGAGGAAGGAATCAAGCAGAGGGCACAGCACATGTAAAGGTCCTGAAGGGAGAATGAGCTTGAATGTGTGAGGAGCAGCCACTGACCGGTTGATTTTCCTTGGGCAAGTTATTATGTTTCTCTGGGCCTCGTTTTTCTTATTCCTGAAAATGACAATAACACTTTCTATACAAGACCTGGCATATGATAAGCACTCAGTAAATGTTTGTGGAATAAATGACATTGATTCCATTCTTTGTTTATTTCACCCTTTGCTCAGGATCATGTCTAAATGGGTTATTCAGGCAATTTTCTGTTCTCGGGGTTCTCCCTTCTACCAATTAAAAAAACAAACAAAAACAAATTCAAGTTGCATTGACTCAAGTGCCTTACCCAAAGCAGTTGTCAAGGTGTAAAGTTGTGCTCAGGCAGGGCATCTGAATTTCTCTCCCTGTCGTTCATCCAACAGTCTGGATTTGCTTCCTGAATATTTGCTGTCTTAAACAGTCTCCCTCCAGATGCAGGGCATTAATTCCAAATTGGCTCCCCATACTTTCCCGTCAGAGGTTGTCATTTGCGGAGCGGGTGATGGAAGGACTGAGTGATGGAGGGCAGTCCCTTCAGAGCCCATCAGCTTTATTCTCAAAGCAGACACTGAAAAATGTGAGGCTGCTGCCAAGCCACAGGGCTCAGGGAGTATCCGCTGTCTCCACACAAAGGCTGAAATAATGAGAATCCTCTGGTCGGTATCATGTAGCAGTCTAAGTAGGACACAATAACCCCATTTACAATGTTAATAACAATAGGCTGCATCAATAGGTTGTTATTCAACAACACTAGCATGTCAATAAAACCTTTTTACATCCATTTAACACATATTAAGCACCCACTGTGTGCCACACAAGCTACCAGGTTCTGAGGTTAGAGAAATAGATAACACAAGCCTTGATGAGACTTACATTTGAAAAAGGAACGTCATGATGTCAGGTATCAAGAGCTTAGAAAACTAAGGCAGAGAAAGTGATTAGGAGGCATAGAAAGAGCTGGGGGCCAGTTTAGACTGAGTGGGTGTGGTCAGGGAAGACATCCCAGGAGGTGACCCCTGAGCAGAGACCTGACTACAATGAGGGAGAACCGAAGGAGACCATGAAGGAGTGGGGAGACCTAACTACTATGCAGGTATCTGAAGGAGAGGGATCCAGACAGAGCAGGGAGAAACCAGGGCTCCACAGTAAGGGAAAGTAGAGGTCTCTCTCAATACAGTCAAGTTTTAGTCATCTCCTACTGCGTCTCCTACCTGGAGAACATTCCTGCCCTATAATAGGATTTCTCAACATTGTTACTATTGACATTTGGGGTAGATAATTCTTTGTTGTGGGGGCTTGTTTCTGTGCACCATAGGATGTTTAGCAACGTCTCGGACCTCTGCCTATCAGATGCCAGTAGCACCCACCCACCTACTTAAGATAGCTAAGGTCCCTTTGCCCAGCACCTCTCTGGCCTCCTGCTTCACTGCTTTAACTCTTTGCAGATGCTACCAGCTCTAGGTCAGGCATGACAGATCCATCTTGCCAGCTATGCTGTAGACTTCTTGCTATCAGTGACCCTGATTGCACATACATGTTAAGATACAGGTGAAGGAGGACTTACAAGAAGCTAATGAGACTTATTAAAGTTTCAGGGCCCCTCTCTTATATGGGCCCTGTCCACTGCTCTTTTCCTAATTTTGTACTCATAATTTTGTACCTGTTTTTCTTTCTTTCTTCTTCTTTCTTTTTTTTTTTTTTTTTTTTTGGAGTTTCACTTTGTTGCCCAGGCTAGAGTGCAATGGCATGAACTTGTCTCACTGCAACCTCCACCTCCTGGGTTCAAGCAATTCTCCTGCCTCAGCCTTCCAAGTAGCTGGGATTATAGGCATGCGCTACCATGCCCGGCTAATTTTGTATTTTTAATAGAGACGGGGTTTCTCCATGTTGGTCAGGCTGGTCTCGAACTCCCGACCTCAGGTGATCTGCCCACCTTGGCCTCCCAAAATGTTGGGATTACAGGCGGGAGCCATCGTGCCTGGTCCCATTTTTCTTAAAGTGGATCTCCAAAACATGTAAGCTCCAGAACCCACAAAACCTGGCTCCATCTCTGGGCAGTCATCTGAACATAGTTCATGCAATCTACAGCGAGACTATTATCAGTGTGGTGGGTGTCAGCATTTCACATGCCCCGCTCTCCAACCTAGCTCATATCACTCACCCCTGACTGCCTTCCTCTTCCTGAAATATGCCATTTTATTTCATTTTGATGGTAGTAGTGCAGTGGGACAGGGGAGAGACTTGTGTTACTCATTAGAGCATGTTTTGTAAGGGAAAAGTCATATCTGTCTGGCACTGCTTTGTATCAAGCACAGTGCCTGGTACTGGTATGTGGAGGGCACTTAATAATTAGTTTTTATTAAATTCATAAAACAGCAAAGCCTAACATGTACTGATTACTAATCAGTGGTTTTCAAAGTGTGGTTCCTGGACCAGTAGCAGCAGTGGCATTTGCTAACTAGTTAGAAATGCAAATTATCAGGCCCTACCATAGACCTACCAAATCAGAAATGCCGGGATGGGGCCCAGAATTCTGTATTTTCACAAGTCCTCTGGGTGAGTTTAAGGATGCTAAAGTCTGAGAACTATTCTAACAGATAGTGGCAGGTTTTTACATATGCTATTCTATATAATCCTCCAAGAGAAATTCTCCAAGGTAAACATTATCATCATTATTATTACTATCTCACAGATTTCAAGACTGAGACTCAGAAAAGTGATTTCACCTCTATTCAACACAATAAGCAAGTAGAAAAGGCAGGATTTGAGTTCTGGAGTACCTGACTTCAAAACCCATCTTCTTTCAACTATAGCACATTTCTTCTGGTGGGAGTTTCCAAAATAATTTATGTCAAATCCCTTTGCAAAACAAGTCAAAGTACTATGTGACTGTGTGACAGTTTTATTAATAGCAATAGTAATAACCGCCATCATAATGAATATGTTCGGGCATGTTCCTATTGTGCTCGGCCTGAGAATGGTGATATCCTGACATGGCTTTTTGGGGACCCTTCTGAAAGGGTTAATCCACCTCCCAGAAGCCCTGACTTCCTCCCAGTGAGTCACTCAGGCACAGAGGAGCCCAGGTACGTGGGTGTAATAACACACGCAGAGCAGCAGGCACGCACACACGTGCGCATCCCTACCGGGAGTGAAATGAAAATAGAAACGGAAAGCAAGACCCCTTCCCTTGGTGCCTATCTCTCCCTGTCACCTGTCATCAATCTTAGAGACCACATTTCTGTGGGCAAATGAGATTCTCTCAATCTATCGCATGTGGCTTTTTGGAACACTGGTCGAATGTCTAGCAGTGCACTTTCTGTGAATGCTTTGTGTCCTGTATGGGTTTTACCATCAGGCACTGAAGTCTGTGGTTGGAGAAAGAATAATACAAAGAAAAGCAGAAAAGTAAGATAACTGGCTATTTATATCTGCTCTGTCGGAAGTGGTGACAGGTATAATTACTGAGTAGAAATTACAGGGCTGATTCCAGTGGTGTTCCTCCTGCTGTTTTCGGGAAGATAAAAGATTGAAAGTGTTCCTGACATCTCCTCAAAGAGAGGGTGCTTCGGCATGCACTTCCATTTATTTTCAGATTGATTAAAAGCAATTTCATGTTGTTCGTAGTTGAACTAAGATGCCTTCCTGGTCCCCTCAAATCAGTGAAACCTCTTTGTCGGGGGAGCTCTTTCCTGAGCTCCACTCTCCCTCCATTAGCCCCCTCCCCCCAGGACTTGTGTCCAGGGTCTTTCCTATCAAGAGAAAAATAAGCTATTAAATAAATTCACATGAAAGTGTTACTGATTTAATGGACTATGATCCCAGGGGTATTTACAATTAAAAAGCAAAGGAACATAAGGTAAAATCCCATGACATTAAAGCTGCAAGGAGCTTAAAAATGATCTAACTTTTTCTCAAACTGAACCAATTAGCACAATTACCTATTCCCTGTGGACACTGATCTTTCCCCAGAACCCACCCAGGCTTCATGAGTCAGACTCTCCTGGGGTCACACGTGGGAATTTGTAATTTTCTGAAGCCCCCTGGGCCATTTTGGTCACTAGACAGGTTTAGGGAGCCCCTTAATTCACAGGTGGAGGAAATGAACAGAGCAGAGAACAGACAAGTGTCAAGAGAGTGGGAGGCACTGGGCTACAAATGTGAGGGGTGCCAAAAAGCCCAGTCATCAGATAAATAATATTCTAACACAATAGTTTAAAACCATCAAATTTAATGCCAAAAAATCCATGATGAAGAAAATATCAATTTTAAATAAAGACAGATCTGTATCATTGATTTTTTTTTTTTCTTATTTCTCAGGCTTCAGTAGGGCTCAACCTGGCACCATTACTGATTATTTGCTTTAAATACTGCTTCACAATATTATTTATCTTGATTATCTTGAGGAGTTTTTTTGGTGCCACCTAAATTTTACACCCAAGGGAAGTACCTCCCTCACCTCACCATTTATTTGGGCAAATACTGAAATGTAATGGCTGTGATGACATATACAACCTGTAGAAGTGATTTGTTTTAAAGTAGGGAGATTTAATGTTTTTATAAATTACACCTAACTGTGAAAAATCTGATTTTTTTTTTCAATAGGCCCTTTATGATATCAACTGGCTAAAGCTGAGTGGCTGCTGTTCCCTTTGCCACTGGGCAAGGACATTTTGACACAGGCAACACCACCTCTCCTGTGTCTGCCCTAACTGGCCTGTGGGCATGTGATTTTTGTGATCCCCGATATAGCAGAAGACAACACACAGGAGCCGTGGAAGGATAGTGCTTAGTGCATTGCAGCCATTTATTCAACAGCTACAGATAGGTATGTATACTTTCAATAGGATAAACTCTAACCAAACAAGGCCTCTCTGATATCATGGAACATCACCTCTGCCTCGCTCCTTCCTTCCATTTCTTGCCCCGACATGCAAGTTCCATCTTACCCCAAGCTCTGAAACCAATATTTTCAAGTGGGGAAATTAACGACAAGGAAGGTAGCCAATTCTGTTATACATGGGTTTGTTTCCTTTATTGAACTTGTACCTGCAAACTTCCAACTCAGTGTCTGAATTTTCTGGAAGTGGAGAATTGGCTTAGACTTTTTTCCTGGTTCCTAATTCCTTCCCCTTTGTTTCTATGCCTGGGGCCTCAGCACTCCAGGTACTGGGTGTTCCTGTCATGTGGATACTGGAGATTTGGCCCTGGCCCTTCAAGCTGTTGCCAGACATTTATGGAGTGCTTTTGGGATGCAAGGCACCAGTGCTACAACATTTTACACGACGGAATTGCTACCTTTGTGGAGATTTTAATCCATGGGGAGATGAATTAATACATAGGGTCTCACCATAGTGACTCACTGTATTCTCCAACAAACTCTTTTTGCTAACTTCTCTCAGAGCTTGCAAACTCAAGTGCCTACAGGGCAGGGCATAGGGCATAGTGCAAATTAATGAAGGAAGCTAAAAGTAAAATGAAAGATGATATTAGGTACCGTAGAGAAATAGAGTACTTTCCCCATTGATGACATTCAAGTTCCACATAAAAAATATGTGGAGACCAAGCAAGATACATTTGCTGAATTTTGCTTCAGAGTCACCACTTTGAAACCCCTGCCTAGAGCCTTACTTCTTGCTGTAGCTTTGGCTGTGCTTCCCTGACCCTGGTCTGCTGGTTCTGCTGACCCCCTCCTGTTACATCTTCCCCACAGCCAGCAGCTGGCTTTTCCCCAAGCAACTCACCTATCCCAATATCCAGGCAGCCCTAGACCTGACTGTAGATCAAGTCTCCAAGCCAACCAACACCAGCCCCATGGTAGGTATCATTAAATTTTGTTGTGCTATGGATGAGTTTGGCAGGATGATGAAGCCATGGACCCATTCTCATAGCAATGTTCCTAACACTTTAATTAAAAGACATGATTACAATGGAAATCAAATATATTGAAATATAGATGTAAATCTTAAAAATAATAAATTTGAAAATGGTAATATGTGTACTGCCTTATTAATGAGTTCAGTAACAAGGTTTAGTAGTTTGTCTATAACTACATACTGGTAGTATATTCATAGACATAGACACACTGCTATGACATACTGGTATGTCTATAGGCATACTACCAGTGTGTAGTTATAGACATACTACTGAACTTGTCATTCATTTCAAAGTAGCTCTGAACATAAAAAAAAGTTGAGATAACTGCAATATGATATAAAAATATCTGTGATTTCTATTGGTAGAATACTGCCAGTGGTACTAAGGCCTATTGTTTATATTCATAATTGAAGGAAATCTAAATTTCAGTTAGAGATGAATAAAATTAAAGCTGTAATATTGTTGCCATTTCAGTTCATGGGCCTCTGAAATTCTACCTAAGATGCTTTGGAGGTCCGTGGAAAAGAAACTTTGACCTAAAACAACAATTCCCAAAGTGTGCTACAAGGCACTGCAGACCTTCGGAGCCCAAAAAAACATCAGGCACATTGGCAATGCTGACTTCAGTTTTCTTTGAATTAGACTAAAGGTGACCAGTGGGATGTTAAATAAATAACATAGTTGTAGCATTCTCATACACTGTTTGTGAGAGTATAAATTGGTAAACCTTGATCGTTTGGCTTTGTGCTCCAAAAGGCTTCAATGATGCCAAAGGCCGTTTGAGCCAGCAATTCCACTTCTAGCATTTATTCCAAGAAACCAATGAGATATGTGTGCAAAGCTTAAAACACAAAAATGTTCATACCCAGCTGTGCAAGAAATAGTATTCTGTCAATAAATTATGTAAATTCGTGATTATTGATATAAAAATAGGACAAACATGAAGTAAAAGCAGTATGAGGCAAATAAAAATAATTTCATATGCATATATTTACACAGAAAAAAGTTTGGAAGGATATACACTAACTCTTTCCTAGTGGTACTTTCTGGTGATTTAATGATCCTTTGGTCTATTCATTTTCCTATGATTTTTTTTTCTTGCAATGAAAGTAAATAAATAGAAAAAATTGTGGAAGGGAGCATAAATGTTGTCATATTGAGTACTTATTTACTCTGTTTTGGGAGATATTTCCTGAGAAAAATTTCTGTGTATATATATTCTTATCATTCAAAAGCTAGGTGCCAATCATTATTCTAGATACTAAGGATGCAAAATTGAATAAGATAAACAAGGTGCTTTATCTCATGGAATTTACTTTTCAGTGCAGAAGGCAGACAATTATCTAACCAGCACATGCATAAACAACAATGTATTGGGCAGAGATAAATGCCTTGAAAAAAAAAAAAAAACAAGTTGAGGCAATAAGGAATAGATGAGGCAAGGAAGATGTCTCTAAGTTGACAGCCAGGCCTTTCATGGAAGTAAAATGTAAGTAGAAAGACAGCAAGAGCCAGCCCTAATTAGATCTGGACTAGGGAGGAGGAAAGCAGATTCAAGATTCTAGGGCAGGAATGAACTTGGTATATTTGATGAAGAGAAAGAAGATCAGCATGTCTAGAATGCTGTGGAAGAGGCAGAAAATGGCACCAGATGACAATTGGAGTAGTCAAGAGCCAAATTAGCTAGGGTCTTGAGACTATGATAAAGAGTTTGGATGCTATTCTGTGTGGTAGATGGAAATAGTGCTCAAAATTATTTGCTCCATCTACAAATAACTCATAAAAAAATCATACCCTTGAGAGAACCCCATGGTGGGAAGAAGAGAGAGCCTCTTGAATTTGGGCTTAGCCATGTGACCTCCTTGGGCCAATGGCCTGTTGGCAGACATGACACAACACAGGACTTTGAAATGTGCTTGTGCAATTGGATTTGCTCTTGGGCTTCTGCCATTGCCATGAGAAGAATACACTTGAGGTGGCCCACTGGCCCCAAAAGAAGGAGAGACATGCCAAGCAGACCTGAACCAAACCTACAGCCTGGAACCAAGCCCAGTTTAGTCCAATCAAGATCTGCAGAACTACTCATCCAACTCACAAGCATGTGAGTGAGAAGAAATGGATGTCACTTTAAGTCGCTGAACTATGGGGTAGTTTGTTACGCAACATTATTGCCCCAATAGCTGATTAATACAAGGAGCAATGGGAAGGTACTGAAGGTTATTAAGCAGAGCACTGGCAAGA